>NW_021160026.1:300000-412368 GCF_000001405.40 Homo sapiens
CCTTAAAAAAGGATGAGTTCATGTCATTTGCAGGGACATGGATGAAGCTGGAAACCATCATTCTCAGCAAACTATCACAAGGACAGAAAAACAAACACTGCATGTTTTCACTCATAGGTAGGAGTTAAACAATGAGAACATGTGGACACAGGACAGGGAACATCAAACGCTAGTGCCTGTTTGGGGGTGGGGGGCTATGAAAGGGATAGCATTAGGAGAACACTTAATGTAAATGTTGAGTTGATGGGTGCAGCAAACCAACATAACACATGTATACCTGTATAACAAACCTGTACGTTCTGCACATGTATCCTAGAACTTAAAGTATAATAAAAACTGAAGGCTACAGACTATAATTTCTGACCAAAATGGATTAAAACTAGAAATCAATAACCGAAGAAAATTCATAAAATTCACAAATACATGATAATTAAACAATTTATTCTTCAACATGTTTTTGTTCAAGAGTTAAAAATTTAATATTTTGAACGTGTCTATAATGCCCAAAGTGAGCTGCAGATTTAATACAATCCCTATGAAATTCTTAATATTATTTTTGACAGAAACAGAGAATGTGACTCCCCAAAGTATACGGAATTTCAGGGGACCACATAAAAAAAGTTGGAAGCATTACAATTCCTGATTTCAAGACATGTTAGAAATCTACAGTAATCAAAATCTTATGTTACTGGCATAAAGACAGACAATTAGACTAATAAAAAAATCTTTGCCACTGCTGCAGACAGTGCCTGCATCATCCTGCAGACTGACAATGATCATTTTGCTGCTGATGACTTTAAAGTGTGAGACAGACCTGGCCATGTGCCAGTTTGTGGAGTGCGACATTACTGATAACACCAGTGTCAGTCAGCCTCTGCTGGAGACAGAGATGGAGGCCCTCAAGGAAGAGCTGCTCTTCATGAAGAATCATGAGGAGGAAGTTAAAGGTCTATAATACCTGATTTCCAGCTCTTGGTTGACCATGGAGGTAGATGTCCCCAAGTCTCAGGACCTTGGCAAGATCATGACAGGCATCTGGGCCCAATATGACGAGATGGCTGAGAACAGCTGAGAGGAGCTGGACAAGTACTGGTCCCAGCAGACTGAGGAGAGCACCAGAGTAGTCACCATGCAGCCCGCTGAGATCGGAGCTGCTGAGAGGATGCTCAGGGGGTTGAGATGTACAGTCCAGTCCTTGGATATCGAACTGTACTCAATGAGATATCTGAAAGTCAGCTTGGAGAACAGCCTAAGGGAGGTAGACGCAGATGGAGCAGCTCAACAGGATCCTGCTGCACCTGGAGTCAGAGCTATCCCAAAACCGGGAAGAGAGGTACCACGCCCAAGAGCACGAGGACCTGTGGAACATCAAGGTCGAGCTGGAGGCTGAGATTGCCACTTACTGCCGCCTGCTAGAAGACGGGGAGGATTTCAATCTCCTGGATGCTCTGGACAGCAGTAAATACCTGCAAGCTATCCAAAAGAACAGCCCCCGCAGGATAGTGGACGGGAAAGTGGTGTCTGAGACCAACAATACAGACGTTTTGTTGTGCTAAGCCATCAGAAGCAAGGTCCCTTTGGGGAGCAGGAGGCCAGTAAAAAGTTCAGAGGTAAAAAAAAATTAACTTCAAATCACAGAAGTGTTTCCTTCAACACAAAAGTAATATAGATTCATTAATATATAGAAGTGGAAATTAAGACAATTTCCACAACTACTCACCCAGAGAGGATTAAAAAAATAATTGACCACCAACTAATTAAACAAATACACAAGTCATAAATAAAGTATGAGTAATGTTTATACAGGCAAATGAACAGAGAATTATGTTGGCAATAGACGTGTGGTTGATTCATATTTGACTGATTCATATTCAACTGTACACAGTTGAATATAGTCATACAAAATTATAATATATAGGCAGAATCTAAAAACACAATTAAATAATGTAATGCAGCCTATCCTAACAAGGAAATACAAGAATATATAATATTAGAAAATAAAATTAAATAAACATTAGCCTGTGAAATACCGAATAAACAAAGCATGCAACAGAAGAAGACTCTTTCTAGATAACTAGCATGTTCAACCATAACTGGGCTCCCATAAAGAGCAGATTTTGAATTCTTAGCATATGGTTAGAGTAACAAAATTGCACAACAAATACATTATAATCTCCCATAAAGAGCATTTAGAAGAAAATTTTAATAAAGATTTCAATGATATTAGAGACACTTTTTATTATGTTCTTAATATATTACTCCTCTTTTTATACAAATGGAAAGGCTATAATTTATTTATTTTTTTTAATTTTTTGAGATGCAGTCTCGCTTTGTCACCCAGGCTGGAGTGTAGTGGCGAGACCTCGGCTCACTGCAACCTCCACCTCCCTGGTTCACGCCATTCTCCTGCCTCAGCCTCCTGAGTAGCTGGGACTACAGGCGCCCACCATCACGCCCGGCTAATTTTTGTGTATTTTTAGTATACACGGGGTTTCACCGTGTTAGCCAGGAAGGTCTTGATCTTCTGACCTCGTGATCCACCCGTCTCGGCCTCCCAAAGTACTGGGATTACAGGCTTGAGTCACCGCTCCTCGCCGGCGATATTTTTTGTAGTTTTAGTAGAGACAGGATTTCACCATGTTGGCCAGGCTGGTCTTGAACTCCTGACCTCGTGATCCACCTATCTCAACCTTTTAATGTGCTGTGATTACAAGCATGAAACACAGCACTGGCCTATAATTTATTATTTTTAAAACAAAGAAAAGCCTTACATTTTTACATATGGGAACAACATGAATATTGTAAAATATGCTGTGGAAAACTACAATATAATAAGCAATTAGAAATAAATTATACTATCATTCAGATAAATGTTGAGGAAAGTAAATGGAAACACTAATGATAAGTTTTTCTATGCAGTGAACTTAGACACAAACTAAAACTTTTCTTAATGTGATGTGCATACCATCCAATTCACTTTTTATATAACACATAAATTCAAGTATGTTTTCTGAAACCCCTGAAGCTAAAGTTATAGGCTAATTTGACATACGTAAAAACAGGACAGGGAAAACGTACAGATCACAGTCCCACTAAGCTTTATATAAGATTAATTAATAAAATAACTCATTAAGAAATAATGTAACAGTTAAGAATTTGTTCTATTCCTGGCATGTTTCTAAGTTTTTCTATGGATTAAGGTCCTTAAAAATTCTTTGAGATGAGTAGATACAATAAACTATTCCACAGGTGACATGTTTGGCATAGAGAGTTCACATTTCTAAGTTAGTTTCTACTAAGGGAAAGAAAACTTTTTGACCTACATTACCAGAGATGAAAAAAAGAATAAAGTGAAATAGAAGATTCAACTTTATCATATGTGCTGAGGTGCTTTGGGCTCTGATAAATATTTTTTCTGATTTTTTTGCAGGAACACATTTGAAATAATAGGACTGAAAATTATGAGGAAGAAACATTTGTCCTTGGTGTTTCTGAAATATGTGAACCAAACCCCAATGCCTGCACTTTTACTCTCACAAACTTCTGACATGAGGCACAGATTTTTACAAAACAGCTTAACATAAAAGTCTCACAAAATGTGCAGATTTCCTCAGATCCCAAAAACAATGGAAAAGCACTCAGACCACAAGGGCTTCATGGGAATAGCAGAAAGAAGAGGCGAACTTTGGCTGTCACTGTGAATGCCCTGGAATGTTAGTGGATGAACAGAGAAGCCTTAGAAGATTTAAGAGCATAATAAGCATAGGGTAGGAAATTTCCACCTGTGGCAGCAAAAGAAGTAAATTTAGAATTTTCCAGAACCAATTTCTTTGAAGCAGAACTTCCAACACCACATTTTTAAGGTTTTCTCCTTGGCCTTTGAACCTCTCATCTTTGTTATTTGTTCATTCTTCCCTATTGGGCTGTTGCCTATTATTCTCTCTCTTTTTACATTCCAAAGACATTTCCTTTACTGTAGGACAGGGGCATCCACGGGAGACTACAGCCATGAGTTCTTAGTTTCTGTTTCTGGTTGAGCCAGTAAGGCCCTTTCCTCATCCCCCTTTTCCACTTATCACTAGACACAGAACCCAAAAACCATTGCTGCAGGCTGCTAAAAACCTAAAACAAAACAGAGCCATAACAAAAACAAAACAAGGCGGGTTGGAAAAGCTTGCTGTACGAGGCAACCAGGTCTGGCTTATATTCACCACATCCCTTCTTCTTTCCCAGAACAGCAATTGGGCTCAAGAGAAAACGTCCAACTTTTAGTATATCCCTCAGTATAGAATGAGAACAGTGGAACATATGTTCAAAGGTTTGGCTTTGTGGGCTACCGCTGATGACTAGATTCTGTCTCCCCAAACAGGGAATGCTAAAGGAAATGGCAGAGTAGTGAGAATGATAACTTATGACTGCTGAGAAGAGAAGTTACATGCTTACCACAGCCTCAGAGAAACAAACACTACAATCAACTGCGGAAGCAAAGGACTACAGTGTCTGGAAAACAATGGGAAAAAATATCTTTACCTTAAAAATACACACACAAGCCCAGAGAAGACACATTGAAGACACTGTTAATGAAGTACCAGGATGTACAGCCTCACTGATTGTTGTATTATCTTGTAGTAAGCAAGTTTGTACATACTACATTACACAGTTGTTTTATAAATTTCTGAATCTCATCAAAAGATTGCAGGGCATACAGAAAAGGAAGAAAACATGTCCCAATTGAAGAAATAAAATAAACCTACAAATATTGACCTTTAAAAATCTTTGTTGACTTTTAAAGGTCAAAATTTGTAGGTTTATTCTTTGTTGTTGTTGTTTTTGCATTATATAATTTTAAAAATCAAAATAATTATCAAAGCTCCTTAATGATATGAACACTCCTCCAGTCCGCAGGGCTCCGGCAAGGGAGGAGCTTAGACACCATGCGGGACACCCGGGTGGACCCCCAACCCACGCCCGAGGCTCAGAGCAGGAGCAAGGACCTGGCTGCACCAGGCCGAAGCCGTCTCCACCCCCAGCGGTCGCGGACTCCAGGAGCTCCAGACCTGGGGTCGTGGTGAGATTCGTTGATTGACTGCGCGATGGTGGCTGAGTTGCAACCAAATGGGTTTCATCACCTTAAATGGTTTTGAACCAATGAAGCTATATTCCCTTAAAGAGACGGACAGCCCATCGTGTGAACTATAGAGTTTGTGAACAAATTTATATTGGGTTCATAGTGACATCATGCACACAGACTCCTGCGAGTTCCCCTAAGTTCTTAGAGGACTGCTTTACCTTTTGATCTGAGAGTTGCAAAGTTCCGTAAAGAATGGCCCTGTGGATAAGCGCTAAGTCAAGAGACAGCAATTGGACAGAATTTGTGAAGGAATTCGCCGCCAGATCACGAAAGACCCCCTAAGCCCCCGCTCACTGGCAGCGTTCCTGGTCGGCCGTGACTGCACTGTGGACATGCCCATCCTGAAGGACCTGGCCACCGTGGCCTTCTATGATGCAGTCCACGCAGGAAATCCACGAGAAAGTTCTAAACAGAGCCGTGGGCCCCATGATGCACCACACAATCACCTCACCAGGGAGGTTCTGGCAAATTTCAAGTCCTTGAGAGTGCTCGTGGGGGTGGGCAGTGGCTATGACAACGTGGACATCAAGGCTGCCAGCGAGCTCGGAATTGCTGTGTGAAACATCCCGTCCGCAGCCGTGGAAGAGACAGCCAATTCCACCAACTGCCACATTCTCAACATGTACCGGAGGAACACATGGCTGTACCAGGCACTGTGGGAAGGCAAGCGGGTTCAGAGCATGGAGCAGATCTGCGAGGTGGCCTCGGGAGTGGCCCGCATTCGTGGGAAGACGCTGGGCCTCATCGGCTAGGGTCGCACGCAGCAGGCTTTTGCAGTTCCAGCCACAGCCTTTGGATTCAGCGTCATATTTTATTACCCCTACTTGCAGGATGGGATCGAGCAGTCCCTGGGCATGCAGAGGGTCTACACCCTGCAGGATTGGCTGTATCAGAGCGACTGCGTCTCCTTGCACTGCAGTCTCAACGAACATAAGCACCACCTCATCAATGACTTTACCATAAAGCAGATGAGGCAGGGAGCATTCCTTGTGAACGCAGCCCGTGGTGGCCTGGTGGACGAGAGAGCCTTAGCACAGGCCCTCAAGGAAGGCAGGATACGAGGGGCAGTCGTCGACGTGAATGAGTCGCAGCCCTTTAGCTTTGCTCAGGGTCCGTTGAAAGATGCCCCCAATCTCATCTGCACTCCTCTCACTGCCTGCTACAGCCAGCAGGTGTCACTGGAGATGAGGGAGACAACTGCCACCGAGCTCCGCCGAGCCATCACAGGTCGCATCCCAGGAAGCTTAAGAAACTGTGTGAACGAGGAATTCTTTGTCACATCTTTGCTTTGGTGGGAAATAGACCAGCAAGAAATTCATCCAGGCATCTTGGGCGTGGGTCCAGGAGGACTTCCTGCATCCATGGAAGGGACATTCCCTGGAGGCATCCCGGTGACTCACAAACTCCCCACAGTGGCACATCCTTCCCAAGCACCCTCTCCCAACCAGCCCTCAAACACGGGGACAATCGAGAGCACCCCAACGAGTAATAACAGAGAATGCCGGAAGGTAATCATTCAGATACACTTTTGAAGAAGAGACAGTGAAAAATAGACAAACTAAGAGAAAAAGAATCTGACGCTCTTTTTAGCTGATTCTGGACATACGCTCATTGGTTTTGCAGTGTTAAAACTGCAAGACCTAGAAAACTGAAGATGTCTTCTGCTTACGGAAGCTCTGAAAGACTAGGATGTGATTTATTAACCACCAACTTCCGTTATTATGTGTTTAGTTTTTCATCTGTGCGTCAAATCACAAAGAATGAATACAACTTTTTCCTTTATCAGTCCCTTGGGCACAGCAGGTCTGGAACACCCTGCTCAGAATGTTGCATCAAGACTTCAAACATCAAAATAAAAACCATGAGGAGGAAATCCCCATCTTGTGACTTGAGTCCCTTCAGTCTACAGGGACTGGTTACAGCATTTTGCTAATAGGAAGATCACATTACTAGAAAATATGGAGTAAACTGTTTGCCTGTGGTAGACATCCTCACACATAGGATTGAAGACAGTACCGGCTCCTGTACAGAGAAGCGTCTCTCACATCTGAACTGCATACTGAGCGGGCAAGTTGGTTGTAAGTTCAGTAAAAGCCTCTGATAATGCAAAAAAAAAAAAAAAAGTATTAAGTTTCACACGCTGTTTGTAATCAAGTATATTTTCTCAGTTTCAGATCCTCTGCTATTTTATTTAGTGGGAAGTCTTGCACTAAAAGGGTTCAAGAAAAATAGTGTTGCATTTTCTTATGTCACAGGAAACACTTTTAATGGTAACTTGTCAGATTGTCTATGAACAAACCCACTTTTTAAGACATTGATAAAGTCTTCTTTTCTTCACGTTGTGTTTTATACAAGAACACTTCAGCTGTATTGGATGTGACTGATTTTAACAAATTATATTAGATTTGCATCAATTAGTTACATGTTCTATTTATAGTCTTTTGTGAATATTGTCTTTTTGTTTAAAAAGATGGCCTGTTTTGATCCTTTCATTAGGTACATTCCCGTTTTTGTAAGAAAAGAGAAATTTTTAAGACTGTCCCAAACAGAAAAATAATGGCTATCAGAAGTACGTTTTGTTTTAGTGTAGTGCAAATTACCGTTACTGTAGTTGTTTATTGTAAAGATGGACATTTAGCATTCAGTGCAGTTTTCAATAAAATGTGATTAGAAAAAACTGCTTAATGAACAAAAACAGAACATAGACAACAAAAGAATATTAGAAGAAGTGATACATAAAGAAAATGAGATATCAATAAAAAGATTTTTAAAAACCAACAATTGTGAATCTGAAGAACATAATAGCTATATTAAAAATTTAATCAACAGTCACAAAAGCAGACTAATAAAGGAGAAAAAATTACACAATTGATGACATTGTAGTTATAAATATTGAATGATGAAAACAAATTTTTTAAGCAGAATGGAGGAAAAAGTATGGGACGTACTGCACATGGTCAAGTGGACCATTATATTTATGAAAGGAGTCTTACAAAAACAATATAGGAGAAAAGTAATAAAGAGGTTATTTTTAAAAAGTAGCTGAGAAATCCCCACATGGCAAGATAATTAAACAAGAAGAAATACTTCCAAACAAAAACCTTCAACTGGAGTAATATCACTTCAGAAATAAAAAAACTAAACCTTTCCAAATAAATAAAAGTTGATTGTGTTACTAACCACTAGAACAGTCCTAAAGGAAGTGTAAAAGAGTCTATCACGTCCAAAAATGAAATGATGCTGCAGAGCATCATAACAGCACATGAAAATAGAAAGCTCTCTATTAAAGGTAAATATATAAACAGGTAAAGAAATCTCTACTGTCATAATCATGGTGCAAAAAACTTTCAAAATATTGCCATGGAGTTTAAAACATGAGGCAGAAATCTGCATAAATTTGTGATCATAGACCATAAGGAAAGATAATATGCGATATTAATAAAACAGTGGGGGTGTCAAGACGTACAACTTTGCATTCAGTTGAAATATAGTTGTTCTATACTGTCATAACTTTAAGATGATTTATGAAGTCTTTATTTCTCAGGATGATTACCAAAAAAAACCTGTAGAATGTATGCAAAGGCAAATGAGAAAGAAATTCAATCACGTCACTACAAAATCAACAAACAGAAATAAAGCAGTAAGAGAAAAAATGATAAATAACACATCTACTAGAAACACAGAAGACAATTACAAATAATAAAGTAACTTCATTAAATGCAGTAATTCCTTCAAATATAAAAAGTTAAATACCTTAAAGAAAATTAATAAATAATTTAATGGATTAAGAACAAAGAAGATCCAGCAATTTGCTCTCTACAAGAGTCACTTCAGCTCTAAGGACTCAAATAAGTTGAAAGTAACAGTATAAAGAAAATATATTTTATGCAAAGAGTAGCTAAAATTGGAGGGTCATGGTCATAATTATACTAAACAAAATATATTTTAAATCAAAAATATGAACAAGAGACAGATTGGTATTGTGTTTTTGTTTTTGTTTTTGTTTTTGGAGACAGAGTCTCATTCTGTCACCAGGCTGGAGTGCAGTGGCACGATCTCGGCTCACTGCAACCACAACCTCCCTGGTTCAATCGATTCTCCTGCTTCAGCTTCCCGAGTAGCTGGGACTACAGGCACACGCCGCCACCTCACCCAGCTAATTTTTGTACTTTTTAGTAGAGATGGGGTTTCACCTTGTTGGCCAGGATGGTCTCGATCTCTGGACCTCATGATTCACCCGCCTCGGCCTCCCAAAGTGCTGAGACTACAGGCGTCAGCCACAGCGCCCGGCCGAGAGAGATTGGTATTATGTAATGGTGAGATGGATTAACTTTCCAGGAATCTATAACAATAATTTATAAATCATATATATATAATTTGAAAAATCTGCAAAAATATACCACTGAGATTTTGACAAAAATTACATTAAATTTTTGTATTACTATAAATAGCACTGACATCTTTCTTTCTTTTTTTTTTTTTAGAGACAGAGTTTCTTTCTCTCAGGCTGGAGGGCAGTGGCATGATCTCTCGATAGGCTCACTTCAACCTCCTCCTCCCAGGTTCAACTGATTCTCGTCTTTCAAATATGTAAAACAAATATTGACAGAAGTCAAGCAAGAAATACATAGCAACACAACAATGGTGGACTTCAAGACTCCACTTTCAGTAATGACTAGAATAGTCAGAAGTAATATCAGTAAGAAAGCCAAACCTGAACATTATAGACCCAACCAGCATTTACAGAACTCTCCAATTTAAAGGAGCAAAATCTGCAATATTCTAAATCACACATGGTACATTCTGTTAGGATACATGTCTTATTAAATTTAAGAAAAGTGAAGCCATACAATGTAAATGAAACTAGAATTCAAAAGCAAGAAAATGTGGCAAATATGTAAATAAGAGGAAATTAAGCAAAATCTTTCATATAGTCTTGCTTAAGTGTCAGGTGATTTAATATTGTTAAGATGTCAGGGCCGGCATGAGGCTCATGCCTGTAATCCTAGGACTTTGGGAGGCCAAAGTGGGTGGATCACTTGAGATCAGAAGTTTGAGACTAGCCTAGTGAATATGGCAAAACCCTATCTCTACTAAAAATACAAAAGTTAGCTAGACGTGATGGTGCACGACTGCAATCCCAGCTACTCTGGTGGCTGAGACTGGAGAATTGCTTGAACCTGGGAAGCGGAGCCTGCAGTGAGCACATCTCGCACCCCTGCCCTTCAGCCTGAGTGACTCACTAAAACTCCATCTCCAAAAAAAAAAAAAAAAATGTTGTCAGTACTACTCATGATGATATAAAAATGTAAGGTAATTTTTGTCAAAATCCCAATGGTATTTTTTTTGCAGAATTTTTGTGTATAATTCTAAACGTTGCTTAGGACAGGTGACTAGCCAAACACCCTTTAAAAAGAACAAAGAGGTATTACATTTTCTGATTCAAAATCATGATACAAAGCTACAAAAATAAAAACAATGTGGTATTGCCACAAAAACAGATACATAGATGACGAAACAGAACAGAGATCCCAGAAATAAACCCTTGCATATGTGATAAAATAATCTTCCGTAAGCTTTCCATGACCACACAATAGAAAAATAAGAATCCATTTAACAAAGAGTTTTCCAAAATGAATATTTACAGAGAAAAAAATAAAGTTGGATGCTTCCTTTGTATCATATATAAAAAGAAAAGTTTTTAAAATGAATTCAATACTTAAACATAAAACTTAATAAAATTCTTAGAAGTAAACATAAGGGAAAAGTTTATGACATAAGTCTTAAAACTCTTTCCTTAAGTTTGACATCAAATTCATAAGCAACAAGGAAAAGAACAACGACCAAGAAAAGGGACTACATTAAGCTTCAACTATTCTACACATCAAATAAAACATTTAGTGCCATACAAACGTCACCTAATAAGTGGGTGAAAGCTAGGCATGGTGTCTCATGCCTTTAATTCTACAACTTTAGGAGGCCAAGGCAGAACAATCACTTGAGGCCAAAAGTTTGAGACTAGCCATGAAAACATAGCAAGACCCTGTCTTGTATAGGGTTATATATATGCATACATACATACATATAACTAAAAAGAGTAAAAATATTTTCTAATCACATATTTGGTAGGTGTTAATTTTCAAAATATATAAATTCCTAAAACTCAACAACAAAAAAAGTTAATAACTTGATTTAGAATGGCACATGTTTGAAATGACTTTCTCCAAAGAAGACATAGAAATGACTAGGCATTTAAAAGGATACTCGACAACTCTCTTCTAGAAAAATACAAAGAAAAGTCACAATAATCTATCACATCAAACCTATTTTTAAAACAGTATGAAAGCTCTTCAAAAAATTTAAAATGAGATTATTATACAATCCAGCAAACCCCATTCTGGCTATGTATTTAAAATATACAACACATGATCCGGAAGAGATATTTGCACACCCAAATTTATTGCAGCATTACTAACACAAGCCAAAAGGCAGAAACAACCCAGCTGTCCCTTGACCAATGAAGAGATTAACAACAAGTGGCACATACACAAAGTCGAATATTATTCAGTCTTTAAAAAGTCACATTATATGATTATTCTTGAGAATATCACGTTAACTGAAATAAGCCAGGAACAAAGTGACAGTCTATGATTCCATTCATAATCAGGTATCTTAAGTAGACAAACTCATAGAAAAAAAAAGTTAGAATGGTGTTTGTCAAGGACTAAAGAGATGGTAAAATGGGCAATTGTCTTAAAAGACATTTAATGTTAGTTTTGCAAGACATAGAAGTTCTACAGATCTTTTGCATAACTATGTGAATGTACTTAACGCTAATGAAATATACACTTAAAAAGAATTAAAATGGTAAATTTTACATTATGTGTTTTTACCACAATCGCAATTTTTAAAAGGAAAAATATGGACTTATAAAGCTTTCCAAAAATTAAATTTTGTTCACAAAAGATTTTCTCTCACACAAAGGAAGTATAGATTTATAATTAAACACATTGTGAAATTAAGATTATTTCAATGACTATTCATCCACACAAGATAAGACAACCACTGAAAATCAGCCAAAAAATATGGAAGATAAGCCATGAGCAAAGTTGGGGACATATTTATAGAGACAAACACATATATAATTTAATTTTGAAAACGTATGACCGATTTATATTTTAATTAAACCCAACATTAGTTTCCTGAGTGAAATTTGGTTTTCAGTTTGGGCAAATGAAGCCCTTTCTGTGGTTAAAAGGATTCTTTCTTCTCCGTTTCTTCGTATGGACCTGTGCTGGGGATTGGTCAGCTGTTCAAGTGCAATGCACTCAGTTTTGGTTCTGTGCCAGGATTAAACCTACGATATTTCACATTTCATATATAAACCCCGATGAAGTGTTTCTAGGAGATGGCTGCCTCATAACCTATATTTTGCCAAATGTTTACTATGAATTTCACCACCATCCTCTTGAAGGTGGTATTGTAACTAAAACTCTTCAGGACATTCTACTTAAAACTAAAATCACGTATATCTCAAGACACTCCTTTCTGATTTGAAATGCCTCTGTCATGTATTCTCTGCAATCAGCATCCTCTTTCAAAGAAAGTAGAAAGGACAGATGAGGAAACTGATAGTGTTACTGCATGGGAGACAGAGGTGAGGATACACATGGCGGATGAAAACATGGAAGTTATTTCTACAGCACGATCTTGTAAGTGTCTGACTGCTATGCTCCCTTGTATATCAAATGATGTACCTTTATTGCAAGAGAAGATAGTGCGCTGTTTACCTTGACATCGAGAGGCAATTTTGAATTTCTGTCGTGATTGCTTAGGACTGAGGATTTAATGTGCTATTTTGTGGAAATCTTAGAAGCAGTAATGGGATTTAATGATCTTAACTATCATCCATCTGAAAAATCTAACGCGATTTTAAATCAAATGGCCGGCTGCTTCCACCGTTTCCTTTTTAAACCAGGAGCTGCCGTTGCTTTTAACATTATGAAGTTGAATCTATGAATAGTTTGTACTATTAACATTTTTTTAAAAATCCACATTGACTTGAAGTGTACAGGCAGAGTTGGAAATTATAACATCCAAAGTTATAATACATAAGTAAAACCCAAAATAAAATCAACTGCTGCCCTGGAACCTATTCTAAATAATCGAGACAGTAATATGGAATTGTAAAGAAAAATAAGAAACATATTTACTCATAAAATCTTGCAAGCAAAGTTTTTTTCTTTTTTTGAGACAGAGTCTCACTCTGTCACCCAAGCTGAAGTGCAGTGGTGAGACGACGGCTCATTTCAACCTCCGCCTCCTGAGTTCAAACCATTCTCCTGCCTCAGCCTTCACTGAGATTACAAGCACCTGCTACCAGACCAGGCTACCTTGCATATAAACTTGATATATCATTTATGAAAATACTTTTTAGATAACTAAAATATTCTACTGTGACTGTGCATTCATGAAGTTCGGGTATCTTGAATCATTGGCATGCAGTGTGTGACAGTAAAATTTCACAGAAAATACACTATAACCATTAATAAAAGGCTCTAATAAGAGAACTTTAATGCATAAGAATTGAAAAGACACCATAAATAATTTCCACTGTATTTTTAATACACTGATGCTATTCTTACACAAAGTAAAAAGCCTGGGTAAGTTGTGGTGGCTCACACCTTTAATTCCAGCAATTTTGGAGGCCGAGGTAGCAGATTGCTTAAGCACAAGAGTTCACAACATGCCTGGGCAGGATAGGGAGACCCTGTCTCTGCAAATAATAATAAACAGCCAAGTGTGTTAATACACATTTGTGGTCCCATCTGCTCAGGAGGCTGAGGCAGGAGAATTGCCTGAGCCTGAGTGGTCAAGGCTAGAGTGAGCTGTGATTATGCATTGCATTCCAGCCCAGGTGACACAGTGAGACCCTGTTTAAAGAAAAAAACAAACAAAAACTAAAAATTAACTAGGAGTAGTGGCATGCACCTGTACTCCCAGCTACTTCAGAAGCTGAAGTTAGAAAATCATTTGATCCTGAGAGTTTGAGTCTGCAGTGAGCCATAATTGAGCTACTGAACTCCAGTCTGTGTGACAGAGCAAGGCCTTGTCATAGATAGATATATGATAGATGATAGATAGATAGATAGATAGATAGATAAATAGATGGAATACACCTGGAGAAAGAGTAAATTTTAATGTAGTGTGATGTAATTTTTAAAATAAACTTTATGTGTATCACTTAGAAATTTATAGAACAGGCCGGGGGCGGTGGCTCACGCCTCTAATCCCAGCACTCTGAGAAGACGAAGTGGGCAGATCAGGGGGCCGGATATCGAGACCAAGACCATCCTGGCTACCACGGTGAAACCCTGTCTCTACTAAAAATACAAAAAATTAGCCGGGTGTGGTGGCGGGCAACTCTAGTCCCAGCTACTCGGGAGGCTGAGGCAGGAGAATGGCGTGAAACCGGGAGGCGGAGCTTGCAGTGAGCTGAGATCGCGCCGCTGCACTCCAGCCTGGGCAACAGAGCGAGAGTCTGTCTCGAAAAAAAAAAGAAATTTATACAACTTAGCCAGAAGAATGAAAAACAACCTCTTAACAGTTTTTTCAAATAAAAAAGGTGAGTTTGAAGAGAAGGGAATAAAGGGGACTTTCAGTTTAATGTGTTTTTATTTTTTGAGTCAGGGTCTCACTTTGTTGCCCACATGGAAGCGCAGTGGTGTGATTTCAGCTCACTGCAATCTTGGCCTCCCAGGCTCAAACAATCCTCTCACCTCAGCCTCCCTAGTAGCTGGGAATACAGGTGTACATCACCACAACTGGTTAATTTTTGTATTTTTGTAGAGAGAGGGTTTTACCATGTTGCCCACACTCGTCTTGAGCTTCTGGGCTCAAACAATTCACCTGCCTTGGGCTCCCAAAGTGCTGGGATTGAGCCACTAGGCCAACCAAGTTTTTTGTTTTGTTTTGTTTTTGAGATGAAGTCTCACTCTGTTGCCCAGGCTAGAGTGCAATGGCACGATCTTGGCTCACTGCACCATTTGCCTCCTGGGTTCAAGTGATTCTCCTGCCTCAGCCTCGTGGGTAGCTGGGATTATAGGCACCCGCCACCGAGACCAGCTAATTTTTGTATTTTTTAGTAGAGATGGGGTTCCACCATGTCAGCTAGGCTGGCCTCAAATTACTGACCTCATGATCCACCCACCTCGGCCTCACAAAGTGCTGAGATTGCAGGCATGAGTCACTGCTCCCAGAGACCAGCCAAGACTTTTACTTTATAAAGATATTTATGATGTTTTCTTTTCTTTTTACAGTATGTATTGCATTTATAATTGGAGATAGAAAAAAAGGTGACTGTTACTGTTTGACAGCAAGGCAGTAGTATTATCTTCATCAATATTTGCAACTTCATTCGCAGGAACCTGTAAGAGAAAGCCCAGACAAAACTTTAAGGCAAAGAAATTACACTTGTAAAAAATGAGAGGACTATTTTTTTATAATAACAAATATTCCAGGTGAGGACTGGTCAGGATCTACCACTGCTCCATCTCACTTGATAAGTCTCATGCCTGCCAGGGTAAGAAGGAGCAGAGAGAAGGACAAATGCCAGTGAGTTTCCTCTCCCACTAAGGATCTGTTTGTCAAGTTTCCTACCATCAAGTGGAAGATGTACTAAAAATAAAATGTACCCTTGCAGATGCTAGCAGAGAGGCACAAAATAGAAAAGGAGGTAAGCCCACACATTGTGGAGAAAGAGATCCAACTTAAGATTCAAAATGCACCAGAAAGCTGTGTAAAGTTAATAAAATTACTCAAAATCTTGGAACATTTGTTTCCTCACCTGTAAAATGGGGATCATGTGCCTACTTCATAAGTTGTTTTGACAGTTAAATTCACAGAGATATTTAATAGAGCCTGCTATGGCAAGTGTTCACATTAACAAAGTAGTATCAAACTTCAAAATATGGGAAAGGTATTTTGAATAATGTCTATGAGGCCAAGGACAACATGCCCAGCTTCATAATCAATCCCAGCCACATTACACTGAGGAGATCTACAGGGCAACTATATTTCTTCAACAAATTCCATTAGAGAGGAAGAGTGTGTAGTCTGAAAACATGACACAAATGTGACCAGTGTACAGTGACTTAGGTAGTCGGGGGTGGAGTCCCTACATATTCTCTGAATTGCAGTTACACAGTGAGTTCCCAGGAAACAAATGGAATAGAAAAGGTGACACAAAATATACTACCATAAATGGGGTGAGCATAGCAGGTTCACAACCACAAATGTAAGCAGGAGACTCAAATCACAAGGAGCACCTAGATCTGTGAACAGCAGCTTGTGGTGGCATCAGGTTCAACTTTCTGAGACCACCGGTGTGGGCAGTGTCTTTGCAGGCACATACTCGGCAGCAGTGTATCTGAAGACAGATCTCAAGGCTCTTCTCTTCATTAATTATTAAGATGATAGATGATGGATACCCTCACGTTACAACATCCCCACTAACGCTGTGGACAAGTGAATTCAGAAACCCCCACCTAAATACACAGTGAAGAGTAGGATGAGAATACTGCAGGATAGGTTAGGAATGCAGGCATTCGACACCATAGAGTCTATTTAAAATAAGAGAAGGGCCCTAGTATTGTGCTGTGGTCCTCCTATATATAGTTCTTTATTTTTCCAATTTCATAAAGGCCATACAGTTTTTCTTCCTTTCTTCACAAATGTGCTGATGAACCCATGAGTAATTCATCCTGAAGGGGTTAATTCCTCATAAAGTACAGTAACGTGATTCAATTGCTATGATGAGGTTTTTCAGGATTTTTTTATAGTGTCCCATACTCACCGATCACAAGTGAAAATTATAAGAACATGTAATTTGAACAAAGTATTCTTTTCACATAGAGAAATACACAGGTTTGTACAGATTAGATGCATCATCAAAGTTGGTAACATCTGGGAACAAAAGGAACTATCCTGAGGACATAAGGAACTTAGGAACGTCGATTATTAAGAGGCTACCTGCAAGTGGAACTTCTGGGTTTTCATTGTCTAGACAGAAAAATTTAACTGATAAGCCCCAGTATATTAAGGTACATCCCCAACGGCTGTGGGGGATCAACTTTCCATCCAAAGCAGAGATGTAAAACATGAATGACTTCAAATGCGGCTCAAGTGCTCTGCACCTTGAAAGTCATCCCCACAAAGCTGGAGCACCACCTGTTCCTGAGGGATGAGGTCACCAACTGCTTTTTTGAGACACTCGTCAGTCAGGACTCAGTTGAGATGAGGCTGGTGATTTCAACTGTAAAATATCTAAACCATCGTCTTTAGGTAGATTCTTGTGCCTGGGAATTGTGGTTTTCTCCTCTGCTGTTAGCAGATCCTGAGTAACCCAAGAAATACCCGCTCTCACCCGTCAAGTTCTATATCACAAGAAAGGCGCTGCAGACGGTGACATTTTCACGAAGGAGCCACAGCCCGCATCACCCCCTGAAAGCTCTGAAGTTGCGCACGGGTGGGTCACGCAGCAGGTGGATGTCTCAGTTCCCATAGAGTTTAGCAGAGCAGGCGGCTCCCTGGGCTGGAAGAGGTGCGATGCTCTGGAAACCCCCCACTGGTGTGTATGTGAGAGGACACCGAGATGTGCAGTGGGCTGTGCAGTGAGGACCAGACACCTCCGATTTGAGCAAGGGAGGTGCACTTCGCAGGGTCACACCGTCCTCATCGCCCAGCCTAGACCTGCCCCTCAAGTCCTTCTGCGGACTCCCTTGGCGAGGGGGTGGCACAGAATCAGCATGTGGCATCGCTTAGGAAAGGACGAGTCCACACCGCCCTGTCCCTCCCTCCAGGGCTGCGCACCACGGGGGAGGACAGACAGCGCATGCTGGTTTTGTAGTTAGCAGGTCGGCGACCAATGGGCTGGAAACCGTTAAGACACCATAACTCCCAGCACTCCTAGCTAGGGACGCGCCTCCCTATCCTTCGCTTCCATACTACACACCGCCCCCAAACCCAGCGCATGCTGAGATTGTAGTCCGTTAGCCTCGCGACCAATGGGCTGGAAATACTGAAAGGACTATGACTCCCAGCATGCCTTGCGAGGTACCCGCCGTCCCGATCCTTCCTCTAGGGCTGCGCACCGCCCCCAAGCCCAACGCATGCTGGGATTGTAGTCAGGTAGTCCTGGGACCAACTGACTGGAAACTGTTAAGAGACCATAACTCCCAGCACGCCTGGCTAAGGACGCACCTCCCTATCCTTCCCTTCAGTGCTACACACCGCCTCGAAGCCCGGTGGCTGCTGGGATTGTAGTCTGCAGGCCGGGGGCCATCGCTGGAAACCGTTAAGAGACCATAACTCCCAGCATCCCTGGCCAGGGACGCGCCTCTCTATCCTTCCCTCCAGCGTTACACACCGCCCCAATCCCGGTGCATGCTGGCATTGTAGTTCGGTAGCCTTGCGATCAACGTGCTGGAAACCGTTTAAGGACTATGACTCCCAGGACGCCTTGCGAGGGACCCACCCTGTTGACCCTTCCTCCAGGGCTGGGAACCTCCCCTAAGCCCAGCGCATGCTGGGATCATAGTCCGACTGCCGCGACAGAAAGGCTGGGAGTGGATCTGAGACTACAGTTCCAACACTACGGGGAAAATTTCATCTTCTCTGAGACTACAGTTCCAACACTGCGGGGATAATTTCATCTTCTCCTCCGCCCCTCCATGTTTCCAGTGCAATTCCGCCCTGCTGAGGGGAGCCTATCTGTTCCCAAACTTCTGCGTGCGAGGAGACAGCGTGGCCAGGGCAGGTGGTCTCACTTGTAATTGTGACACAGTCTCCCCACGTGCCAGTTGTACGACTATTTGTGCCTGAAGTTTGATTTCTCTCTGACAAGACAGAGCCCGGGAGCCTCTAACAGCCTGCCCAGTGTTGCCGTAACGCTTGCTCTCGGGGAGCTGGGCGCGCCCAGACCTTTGCAGGGCCCCTCCCTCAGCCCCGACCCTTCTCCTCGCCCCTCCCCTGCCACGCCCCTTTCGACATGCTGGAAAGTCATCTACCTTTAATAACAGTCATCTTTGCAAAAAAAAAAAAAAAAAAAAAACTCTGAGAATAACCTATCTCCCATTCTATTTAGTATTTATTTCCATATATCCATAAATAGTAGCAATTAGATATCATAGCAAGTCAAGCAAAAGCCCTGCCTTGCCTGTTTCATAAACCACGATATGGCCTTGCTGTGGTTTTATTTGTATTTTGTTTTGTATTTATTGACCTTTTGGATATAAATATTTAGGTATTTGGACAGTTTTTGGAAGTATTCCGCTATTAGTTGTTGATTTACTTTTGTTCCCTATTTAATTTTTTTTGTCTCTCCCTTCTCCTTAGACTCAGTCATTCCACAGGTCTCGAGAGCTCTGTTCATTTCCTTTAAACTTTTTGTACTTTTTTTTTCCCAGACTGGATAATTTCTATTGCTGTGTCTTCTGTTTTAAATCTATGGCTAAACGCAAAAGATTTTTTTCATTTCCTTATCTATAATTTTTTTATATATATGTTCATTTCTCTGCTGAAGTTCCACATCTGTTTGTTTATGAATAGAATATTTTCTTTTTTCCCCATGAACATATTCATAAAAACTGCCTTCAAATTCTTGTCTGCTGATTGCAACATCCTGGGATAGCTTCTACTGCCTGCTTTTGATATTGTGTATGGATGACATTTTCACGTTTCTTTACAAGTCTTATGAATTTTAAAATTGTGCACTAGAAACTATAAATGATAATTATAGAATAGAAACTCTGGATTTTGTTGTTTTACCTTGAAGACTTTTGTTTTATAAACAGGGTTCATTGGGCTAGTGTCAAACCAATGCTTGTGTCTGCTACAGTGGGTATAGCTGAAATCTTCATTCAGTTGTTAAACACACATATCATATATGTATTATGCATAGGCGTTTTTCTATAATAATATATTTTATTCAAGTTTCATCATTGTTATTTGTGAGAGTTCAACAAGCTAGTCCACACTTAGTGGAAGTCAGAACCTCAGTTTTATTTGATTGTAGCATTTTATATAAACAAAATTATATAGTATGTATACTTGTACATCTGTTTTCTTTATTTCCTTTTCTGTTTTCTTTCTTTCTTTCCTTTTCTGTCTTCTTTCTTTCTCTCTTTCTTTCCTTCTTTCTTTCTCTCTTCTTTTTTCTTTCTTTCTTTTCCCCAGGTTGGTGTGCAGTGGCATGATCTCACTGCAACCTCTGCCTACCAGGCTTAAGATATCCTTCCACTTCAGCCTTTTGAGTCACTGGGACCGCAGCCTTGCACCACCATGCCCGGCTAATTGTTTTGTATTTTTGGTAGAGACAGGGTTTCACCATGTTGCCCAAACTGGCATGTCTGCTTTCTTTTATGCAACATTACATTTGTGATATTCACCCACCAGTTGCAAATAGCTATAGTCTGTTCATTTTAGAAAGTAGTTTTTACCTTTTAGTAAAATATAAAAATACATGAAATTAACCATTTTATTTTTTTTTTGTGTGCAGTTTAAAGAAATTAAATACATTCACATTGTTTTGCAACCATTGTCCAAGTTCATAAGGAACTGTTTTTCAATCTTTTAAAAGTGAAACTCTGTACCCAGTAAACAACACTCTCCTTCCATTGCCCTTTGTGTAGTCCCTGGAAACTACTCTTCTACTTCGTGTTTCTATGAACTTAACTGCTGTAAATATCTCATATGAGTGGAAAGAGACAATATAACAAAAAAATCATGAGGAAGAATAATATATACTATATAACATATGTTTATCCATTTTAAGAAAAATGCTAGCAGAGATCAGGTCATGGTGATTATAGAGAAAGGTAGGTAACAGTGAAAAGGGGATTGGTTGCATTAAATTTACGACGTGATGCCTCAAGTGCCAAAGCAGTGAGCTTTCTGCCCCACTCGCAGGGCTGGTCAATGGTGTGGCTGGAACCCTACTCGAGCTGCCTGACTGCCAGAGCCCATGCTTAGTACAAACTTCAATGAGCCATGAAAGCAATTCCAACAACAGGCACTTAATGGCTCTGAGATTTTATCACAGCCTGTTCTTCATGGCTAGCAACTTCAGAGAAGAGTGACAGCTGTGAGGTTCCAGAAGCCACACCTCAGGTCCCCCAGTTCCTCCCCAGCAGCTGGAGTCCAGGTGCAACAGGACCTGATGCTGGCCAGGGAACCCTGGCCACAGGCTGTGTGAGGCTGGCGGCAAGACAGTCTCCCCTCCTACCCTCTGCTCATCTGCTAGGTCTTTGCCTTTTATTCTGATTGTGCTGCTCCAGGCTTGGAACCAAGCCCGAAATTCCTCTTGAGTCTGAAGATGATGATGGTTTCCAGCTGTGTGGAACTGCTGCATCTCCTGGAGGACTTTAATCTTCTGGAGACAGAGGGAAAGACAGGATGCTGACAGGGCCTGGGTGAAAGACTCTGTAGGGGCCTTATAAAAGAAGGGAGGAGGGCTGGTCTCTGAGGTGTTTCTTTTAAGGGGCTCTCACCTCCCCTCCAATATCATGCAGCCCTAACTGGTTCTCAGAGTTGAATGTAAACGGCCCTTCCTCTAGGAAGTTGTCATCAACTTCACTCCCCTGATTGCACCCTGCATTAGGATAGGTCTCCTCCTTCTCTGTGTATTACTCCCTTTCAATAAATCTTAGATGCGGAAGAAGGGACCAGGGAATGTCCTGCCCAGGGTGATTTCTCATTTCCACCTCCACCCTCCCTCAAAGTGAGGACTTCAGCTACTGCTCACCTTTCTGTTTTTCTGGGTTTTGATCACATTTCTCTGGAAGACAGAAAGCCAAAGACCATCAGAAAGGTCCGCTGGTCCATAACTAGCCTCCATTTCCAGCGATTTCCAAGCTTCACCACCACCAGAGCCACCAGGGTCACGGAATGTGCACAAAAGAGGTCTTGCAGCTCTGCAGCTTCACTACTCAGGGAGTGGGACTGATGGCTGCTGTGGAGCCTCCATCACTCATGAGTAAAATACCCTGTTTACGGGATGAGGAGGGCTGCGAGGCCCTCGCAAAAAATTTTGGCAAGGACTGGGATCTAGGAGCTCAGTTCAAGACTCTCTTCTCCCAGGCCTCAGGATCCTGGTCCCTGACCTGTCTGCTCCAGGCTCACTCACATCCACACACTCCTTCATGGCAATGTCCAGCATCACCACATCAGTGAGGAATGTCCCCAGAGAGGGCATGACTTGGGAGGTGCCCACCCAAGTCCTGTCCGCTGAAATCTTATAAACCCCTGCCTCCTGGCGCCCTCTACCTAGGTTACCCACTTGGAGTAGCTGAGAACCCTCAGCTGCCTTTTCCCAATTCTCTATGTCTTCCCATTAGCTGGCCTCTATTGCCACCAACCTCACCATAATTACCTCCTTGGTGGGATTTTAACAAGCCACAAGGTCATGTGGTCCCTGGCTCCACCTATTTTAAAAGCCACACGGAGCCCAGCTCTCCCAGGCCTTGCTCTGGTCTGTCTAATGAACGTGTTTTAGGCACTGCAGCTCCAGGAGAAAAGGGCTGGAGTAGAAAGGCCCTCTGCTTTTTTGATTTGGAGGTTTCCAGCTGGGAGAAGTAAGCTCTGTTCTCTGAAACCCTGGAGCCCTTCCCCATCACAGACACATTCACCTTCTGCTGTCACAGCCTCATCTAAGCTCTCTGGGGCTCCGCTACAGGGTAGACAACTTGTACGCTGTTCACCTGCTAGGATGAGGGACAAGGTCAGTGAAAATATGCTTCTTTCAGTTACGCCTCAGCTACACTAACCTTGGACACGGATAAGTGGCCTGAGTCAGCTTGTCCAATGCTCTGATCATCTCCAGTAAGCTCTGACTCTAGACTCACTCCCAGGTCCAACACTCCCTGGATGTGTCATTTTGGGCATGCAGTCGGGTTTCCCTGAGCTGTTTCCTCAACTGGAAAGTGTGGTGGGAACCAACTACCTCACAAGGCCTCTTACCACCTCGGTTTCATGTGGTTGTCATGATTGCTGTCACCATCATCCCTCTCAGGATGAGCCAGACACAAGCACCCTCAGATTCTCTGTCTCCCTGAGCCCCATCACCACCTTGTGAGGCCTGCCCAACAGGCTCATCATTCCTACATTTTCCACATAAGAAAACAGAGGCCCAAAGCGGCAATGACATGCCAAGGACCCCACAAGAGAGGCCAGCTCCTCCCTCAACCTAGAGGGACTGTCCCGGCTGCCTTCACCTAACACCCTAGCATCATCACTGACCAGCATTCCATCTTCTAAACTCTATGAGTGACAATATTCCCAGCCAGGCCCTGTGGCAGTGGACATGGTTCTGAGAATTGGGAATCTAATGTGGAGGAAAAGTTAAATATTTAATATGAACTCAATTGAACATGGGCACAAACAATGGTCACGAAGTCCTGGAACAGGTTGCATGAACCCCTTGAGGTGTTCATCCAGCGCTGTTTCAGAGAAATCTTTCAATCCATTCCTATACATTAGTTATTGAAAAAACAACAGACAATTGCAAAAACAAGTTGATCTTTTGTGTTCCTTGAGCCCAGTTGTGAAGGGCACCTGTGACTGCGCCTCATGCCAAACAACACATTACAAAAAGAGCTAGGGTCCCAGACTGTGCTGAAGTTTCATGAGACCTCTCCTCATCTGTACATGGACAGGTGGCTGACTCTGGAGCCCAGGCTGTTGCTTCCCAGTCTGGTAATGAATCCTCCATAGTCTGGTGCGTGTAAATATACATATACATATATGTATATTTATATACATGTATATGTATATAAATATACATATATATTTTTCTTTCTGTCCTTCCCATTGCAATTTGCTTATTATATTATTTGCTTATCATGTCTGTATTGCCATACACTTGGGATAAACGCTATTTATCCTTAAAACTATTGTGGGTGCCTTTTCTTTTCCCCTCGTTCATTTCCCGCACCGGAGCCCAGGTGATGGAATCTCGAAGTGACCTCACTTCCTTAGTTACAAACTCAAAGAAAGTTTAGAACTCTGGTAACCTGGAGCCCTAATTCTAGAGACAGCTTTGTATTTACTAAGGAGACTCTGAAGACAGCAAGATGTTCTCCTGCTATGTCTTGAATTTCTGAGGCTCTCATCTCAGGAAGGCTTGAACAGAGAGAATTTTTTTTTATGATGGAGACAGTGCTCATTCTGCACTGCTGGCTCTTCTGGCCATTTGGAAAGGGTTACCCATAGATAACACAAGGCCACCCATGGCAGGCCTATCCAGGCCAGGCCTCACCTTTGATATCATCTCGGCAGGCACACATCCCTCCTCATCTCCACGTCTCGTGGGAAAGAAAGAGATAATGGGTCCTTTCTTGACAGGAGCAGGTTTCCAGGTATTGGGAGGCTAAAAGCCTGTCAAATTTATACCGCAGGTTACAGTTGGCAGGAGGGGAAGGTGAGTGCTGGGGGTCACCTTTGTTTGTTCAGACATTTATTCTAAGGCTTCAAGCTGTCCTCTTGTTTTCTCCCTGGCTGGAGGTCTGCGCAAATGCTCCTATGTGCCTGATCTGGGGAGTAGACTTTCTAACTGGAATTTCCCCTGTGGGGAAAGCCAGGATGCCATTGATGCCTCTTGGCCAGGCTTCCAGGCACTCTCTTTGCAGAACTCTATTGAGGAGATCCCTGAGGAGCTGTTTGATGAGTCCAACTACTCCATCTCGTTGAACAAAAGGCAGGTGCATCATGCCAACAACCATGGCCCGTGCTAGTCTGGAGTCAAGGTGGGCACAGAGAGGTCTCCAAATGGAAAAGACCAGGGAAGCCCAGGACCCTGACCCAAATGTGAGGATTCCCCAGAAACCGTTTTAGGGCTTTCTCCATTAAGGACCCACAGTTCCTTCCCAGAGGAATTTGGCCTCCATTAGTCCATAATGGCAACTTAGGTGCACAGTCCCCGGTCATATGCTTGCAGGAATGTCAAAAGAAACACTTTTGTGTTGTTATTACTTTACATTAAGTTGTGAGTATCTTTGCATGTTGCTATTATTTTTATTGTTATATCTACCCACCCCACATACTTCCTGGAGCAGGCAGCTTCGCTGCCTTGCCAGACCTTCTCTAAGTCTTAGAAGTTCACACTGTTACTAGAGAGAGGTTTCACCCAAAAAGTGGGAGTTATGCAAAAGGGTCTTATATGACTCTTTACATATGTGTCCCAGAGCCCACCTCTATAGCCCCATCAGGACAGGAGCTGTGTCCTCATATGTCTTCATAAGATTCCATAAGTGGGGCCTTTCCCTCAGTAATTTAGGCTTTTAATACTGGTGGAGCCTGACATAATAAATTATATTTCCACTTCAGCCATGCTACAGGGAATATCTTTTTTTTTTTTTTTTTTTTTTGAGACGGAGTCTCGCTCTGTCGCCCAGGTGGGAGTGCAGTAGTGCAGTCTCGGCTCACTGCACTCCGCCTCCTGGGTTCACGCCATCCTCCTGCTTCAGCCTCCTGAGTAGCTGGGACTACAGGCGCCTGTCACCACGCCCGGCTAATTTTTTTTCTCTGTGTGTGTGTGGTTTTTTTTTTAGTAGAGACAGAGTTTCACCGTGTTAGCTAGGATGGTCTCGATCTCCTGACCTCGTGATCCACTCGCCTCGGCCTCCCAAAGTGCTAGGATTACAGGTGTAAGCCACCGCGCCCAGCCGCTACAGGGAACATCTTATCTGTGTCCTAATAGGCTGTAACGCTTTGCTATGACTTCCCTAATACAGTACCACAGGCTGAAGTTCTTTAACAACAAAAACTGAATGTCGCACAATTCTGGAAGTTAGAAATCCAACCTCAAGCTACTGGCTGTGTGGTTTCTCTGAGGTCTCCATCCTTGGCTTGTAGATCGTCATCTACTATATCTGTGTTCACAAGATCTTCTCTTGTGCTTTTCTGTCCTTCCTGCCTCTTCTAATAAGGGCTCCAGTCATCTGGAATTAGGATACACCCCAATTAATTCACTTAAACCTAACTACATTTGCAGAGGCTATATGTTCAAATATAGTCACGTTCTGAGGCACTAGGTGTTAGGACATGAACATATAATTTTTAGGAAGGGAATGCAATCTAGCTCACAACATTTACTAATCCCTTGTAGATTATAGTCTCCCAGGAAAATGATTACTCAGTGAAACAGTAGGAAAGTGTAAAGGTTTAATAGGAAAAGCCGGAATATATTCCAAAAGGGTTGTGAAAGCCGTACTGTAAATAGTAGTTTCTGAATTTATCTGCTTTTATGTATCCAGAACCTCTTGGTTGTCAACATTCTTTTAATTTTTTTGTCAATCTGCTATCTATGTGGCAAAAAAACATGTTTCTATTTCAATTTTTCAACTGATATATTTGAGTTACCTTTCAGTTGATTTATACTTATTTGAGTTTTCTGTTCCCTCAGTTAATCCGCTCAATTCCTTGGCCCTGTGAGGGGTTTCTCTCACCTTGGAGTCCCCAAGCACTGACACCTTTGTCAGGTGTGGGGTTGCTGTAGTTATTTCTCAACACTCCCTTTAAGGTTTTAAAAGACCCAGTTCAGTTGCTTTAAGTCAAAAGGGTTGTCTTAGGGTATCTTATCCTGTGCCCTGTCTCTAAAACAGAAAGAAAGTGAGCCTTCCCCATGCCCTTCCCCCTAAGTCAGGGACAGACATAGAGCCTCAGGTAGCTTAAAGGGAATTTCATGCAACCCCCACCGTGGAAGATTCTCTTTCTTACTTGTGTTTTTCTGAGCAGCCATTTGACATCACAAAGCTTTATTTTCTCATTTGTAGGCTGAGTATGTTTTTTTGGGAATTCTCTGGGATAATGCTCTTCATAAAGATTATTAATACAAGTGGGTGCTGTTGTCTTACAGCTGATATGATATCGTGAAGGCCTTGAATGTATTCATGGATTAATTATTCTCTACCTCCACATTAAATTTGATATCAGAGGCCTAAAACCTTTTTCACCATAAACACCCATGTCCTCCACATGCCCAAGTCTCTGAAGGATGGAGATTTCCTCATCCAAGCTCCACATTCCAAGCCTCTGGTGTTTCATGGTCTTGCCATGAAAAGTCTTGTCCCCTCCCCAGGAGGAAATGAGTCTATTCTTAACCTAGAGGTGTGAATGATGCCAATGCGCCAAACCAGGCACAACGGAGAAGCTGACGAAGTCCCTGACAGCAGCCTTCCAGGGTCAAACTCTCTTCTTTTTATCATTTTTCTCAAGTTTTACCAGGACTTCCTCACCACTCTGTAGTTCCTGGACCAGCTGTCTAGTAGTTGAGCATATGTCTTCTCCAAGGCACAGTGGTGACTCTGCCAGCTACTAACTGTGTCTTAGCATACCAGTGCATCTTTATCAGCCTCAATTTGCATCTTTATAGAGAATTGTAAAATGAACCTCTGTTCTGTACGAGAGACATGCAAGGGGAGAAGAAAACACACCCAAAAAAACCTTTAAGGGTAAACAAGCTTTATCTGACGTAAATGGCAGTGCAGCTATAATAAGCAAATTGCAATGGGAAGGGGAGAAGGGAAACATATATACATATTTACGCCCACCAGACTGCGGAGGATTCATTACCAGACCGGGAAGCAACAGCCTCGACTCCAGAGTAGGTCACCCATCCCTGCACAGACAAGAAGAGGTCTTAGGAAGTTT
Source organism: Homo sapiens (assembly GCF_000001405.40). Lineage (NCBI taxonomy): Eukaryota > Metazoa > Chordata > Mammalia > Primates > Hominidae > Homo > Homo sapiens. Next base: position 327,836 of record NW_021160026.1, read on the forward strand.
CAGCGTGGCCTAGGGCCCTAGTTCTTTTTGTAATGAGTTGTTTGGCATGAGGCCCAGTCACGAGGGCTCTTCACAACTGGGCTCAAGGAACTTGAAAAGGTTATCTTGTTTTTGCAATTGTCTGTGGTTTTTCAATAACTAACACATAGGAATAGATTGAAATAGATATTTCTCCAAAACAGTGCCAGATGAATGCTTCAAGCGGCTCATGCAACCTGTCTGGGACTTAATGACCATTGCTTTTGTCCATGTTCAATTGAATTCAAATTTAATATTTAACTTTCCCCCACAACCTTATATGTTTTTTGTGAGAAATGAATGGCATACAATATGAAAAGTGGTTTCCTAATGCTCGGCTTTGTGGAAAGCCTGCTGGGGCATGCTCTGATTGTTCGTATTTATTACTTTTTTCTCTTCTTTCACCCCAGAAGGTCTTTCATGTCACAGTGACTCATGTCCCTCTATAATTGGACAATCATATAGAAAACAAACATGTTCTTACATTTGTAAAGGGCACTTGAGCTTCCTGTTAGCTGGACTTTGTCCTTGAAACAGAGAGATCCTGTAGGAAAGAGTCCCCAGGCACACTCAGACATAGCTAAAAAGGTTGTAGTTAGGGCTTATTTATTCATCACATATATATAACGCAGTTTTCCAGACACTTGGCCTAATTCAGTGAAGACAACAGATGACAGTTCCTGGGCCACAATTTACTTCAGGGAGACACTCAGAGTGGACATCATAAGCAGGTCATGTTCACAGAATGTGAGAACTGATGTTCTCATGCTCTCCTCTAGGAATGGATGCACCTGTCAGCTTCTGATCAGAACGACAGACCCAGGATCAAGCATAACATTTAAATAGACGAATAAAACTTTTTTCCAAAAAGGAACATCGCTTTATGATAAAAACTCTCAACAAATTAGGTGTAAAGTAAATTCACTTCAAAGCATTAAAGGCCATGTATTACAAATGAATAGCTGGGCGGGCAGATCTGCCATAAGGCAAGGGCATCCGCTTCCCTAGATACATATCCAGGGGCACAGAGAATGAGCAGTTCCAGGGTTGTGTCTCACATGGGGTCCTCTCCAGGTCGGTTTCAAGAGGACAGGACTGGGGTTCTGTATCCACTTCTGTGGAGAGCTGGAAGTAAAATGAGCTATGCTCCACCTCAGCCTAATGTAGACAATGGCTACAGAGAAGACTGTTTTCTTCCTCATAAATAGGGGTGCTCGAAGTGGGTAACCTTGATTGTTTCACATACTCATAAGTGTCTGCCAGCCTTGATTCTTCATTGGTGAACTAAGACTCTTTGCTCTGAAACTCTGCAGAAATGCTTCTACTCCCTGGAGGCCCTTCAAATCAGAGAGAGGCATGGCCACTCCAGAGGCATTTTGGGTAGATAAAGATGGGATAGAGCTAAACGTGTCAGAACACTGGACCCTGAGTCTGAAGTCATGGGAAAATGCCAGTTCCTGTTGGGTTTTTGAGCTCCTCATTTGAAAGTCGTATTAAATAATTTCCCTGGATAAGGGGAGGGTGCCTCATGAGTAAATGGCACACTCCAAATGGTGGAGGCAAAGAGAGGGCAATGGAGGATTCCAAGGTCACTCAGTGTACTTGGAGCCTTCAGATTCTGCTCCTTTGTCCTCTGGAACTCCAAAGAGTCAGTGTCTTGAGGACACAAAACAATGGTACCTGATTTGTTCCATAATGTTCCTGCATGGGGCTGCAGTGTTAGTGATGGCCTGGAGGTGGTTACAGCCTGCTGTGTTTCTGGTGCCTATTGAGCTTTGCTGGAGCAGCTGGAGCAAGTAAGAGTCACACACCTCATGTTATTATCAACAATTTCCACATTGCCCACTTAGCCAATCTTTTTTCCCTTGCACTCACCCTTTGCCAGCTACCCTGGTGGGTCCAACATGTGGCACAGAAAATGATTACATCATGCCTGCATACCCCTCCAAGGACAGAACAGTCTGAAGTCAGCTCGACAAAAGCACTAAAGCAAGTATATATAAAAGAAAAGAGCAAGGACTATTATATAAAGTAGAATGTTGAGAAGAAGAGCTGCAAAGTCATTGAATGGGGGGACCCAAAGTCCTCACTGAGGTGATCTTTAATCCATGATGAGAATGATAACAGGGAGGCATCTCTGCACAAGAATGTGTCAGTGAGAAGCCACCCTTGGTGAAGAGTCTTACAGGTGTGAGTTTGGCAGAGATTAGAAAGGGACCAATTTGGTACAGACAGCCTGAGGAAGAGATAAGCAGAGGCATGGAGAATCCTGGGGCTTGGGAGATGAGGCTAGATATCTGCTCCTTTCTGACAACATTGCCCTAAAACTTAGCACCTTTCAATAGTATATAGTATCTCACAATTTGTGTGGACCAGAATCTGGACACAGTTTAGTTAGCTGCCTCTGCCTTCAGGTCTCTTATGAGATTGGGGCTGTGGTCTCAACTGAATGTGGACCGGAAAAGCATCAACCTTTAAGCTCATGCTTGTGAAAATTGGCAGGGTTCAGGGTAGACTGAGAGCATGACTTTACTTCTGTCTACTGCCTGAGCACTCCCTCCGTTCTTTGTTATGTGCGTCTGTACATAGAGCATCTCATAGCATTGGAGCTTGCTTCCTCTGTTTGAGGAATACAATTGAGAGACAGAATTAGGCAAACAGTTTCACACAAAGAGACATAAAGAAATGGAAAGACTGAGGAAGCAAATAGGAAAAACCCAGTAGGAGGAATAATGACAGCTTTAAAAAAACTTGAGAGTTACAATAATTTGTATTAAAATTGTAACCCCCAGTGTAATGCTATAAGGAGATAGGTTGTAATTAACTCCTGAGGTTGAGGCCATCATGATTGAGATTACTGGCTTTACACAGGAAACCCCAGAGGGATGTCTGTCTCCTTCTACCAAATGAGAATAAAATTTGATGTGTGCAGTCTGAAATTCAGAAGAGTCATCACCAGAGCTCAACCATGCTGATACCCTGATCTCAAATTTCCAACCTCTAGGAGTGTGAGAAATTAAATCCTGTTGTCTATAAGCTGTCTAGTTCATGGTTCTTTGGTATAGCAGCCTGAACTAATACAAAAGTCATACACTATTCTGTATTCCATTTGACAGAAGCTGAATTTGTGCCTTCAAACTGTTAAAAAAAAAAGACTTAAAAATTGGATATTCAGAATGAAAGATAAGAAACAGCTTGTTGAAACACTTAAATCTCCTCTGCTTATAAGATTTTAAAAAATTGGCTGAAATATGTTGGAAGCAATATGGCCAACTGAAGTCCATGGAGAATGAGTTTGCTGATGTTAGAGCCCAAATTTCCGTTGCATGTTTCATATTAACACTCCCTGAATATTCATGTGACCTGTGAGGAAACAAGAGGAGATGACTGTGCATGTCTCATGACTTTCCATATTACTACTTTCCTTCCAGCAATCCCCTCCTAATCCAGAGCCCACTTCTTAAGCATTTTTTAATCAACACCTTAAAGCCTATATAAGGAAACTGATTTCAGCTGGACTCCTGTCTCCTGTTGGCCAACCTACAACAAGATGCCATTTTTCTCAAAACCCAAGTGCCATACTACTGGCATCGAGCAGTAGGTCATTTTGTTCAATAACAAACTGAGTCACTAACCACCTAGTGCTGGGAGACTTTGTGAAGGCTTTCCCCAACTTAGGTGAGATAAGGCACATGGATATAATTCTATATATAATAAGAAGTCACTAGAAAGTTTAATAGTTGTATTAGTCCATTTTTATACCGCAATGATGGAATACCTGGGACTGGGTAATTTATAAAGAAAAGAGGTTTAATTGACTCACAGTTCCACAAGATTGGGTGGGGGAGGCTCAGAAACCTTCCAATTATGGTGGCCAACAAGTGAAGTGAGTGAGAGCAGGGGATACACCAGAAGCTTATGAAACCATCAGATCTCTTGAGAACTCACTCACTATCACAAGAACAGCATAAGAAAAACCCGTCCCCATAATCCAATCAACTCCCCTCAGGTTTCTCCCTTAACACCTGGAGGTTATAATACAAAATGAGGTTTGGGTGGGGACACACAGCTAAACCACATCAGTGCCAGAGGATGATATCTACATTTAATTTCAACCTCGTACTGCAGCAGAATGAAACTGAAGCCCAGTGGGGAAGTGACTTTCCCAAGATTACACTGCTGGACCCCAGGCCTACCTGAGTTGTGGCCCATGCTACCTCCCACCTATTCTCCTAATGCTTCCATCTCTAAGTGTGTGCATTATTTACATGTGAAACTACACCACGATTTTTACATTTTATCTTATATACATCTGATACATTCCCTAGGAAGTAGATAACATTATCCCCACTGTGCACGCTAGGAGGCTGGGGAAGCCTCAAATACACAGTGACTTTTATTAGGTCCCAGAGATGGTAAGAAAAACAAGGTTATTTTCCAGCTGTCTCTTATATCCTGGAACCCAGGATGCATTTAGGTCTTTCCAGGGAATTAAGGGGAAGTTGTGTTTGCATAATTGTGTACAAATAAAGAGTTGACATGGAAGAGGAGACTGAGCAATCAATAGCATAGTGGGGCCTTTGGGTAGGTCTTACAGAAATAAGGGGCCCAGTAGATGGAACCTTGAAGAGTTTAACACACTTTCCTGGTGACAGAACCCCACAGCAGTTAAGAAACCAGGAACCCACATTCTTGAGACAGCTCTGTATCCACCTCTGTTGGTGAGAGATGCTCAAGAGAGTGAGATGTCCTTTCATTGTGCCTTGATATTTCTGAGTTCTAGCCTTACAAAGCCTCAATGTAAAAGCCTTCTCTGATAACACAGATATCAACTCAGCCCTCATTCCTGATACCCCTGGCCATTGGCCAAGTGCACCTACAGATAACACAGAGCAGCCCAGGACATGTCCATCGAGGCCAGGCCTCTCTCATCATCTCATCTGGGCAGCCCCACACCACTTCTTTGTACCATGAGTTGCAGGATGGACAAAAGAGAGGGCACACTTCTTGGGCAGAAGCCGATTGTCAGGTGTTGGAACTCTTGTGTGTTTGTTATGTTCATATTCAGGTCAGAGCTGGCAGAATAAAAATAAGAGAGTTGGGGAGTGAGTCTGTATACTCAGATGTGAATAGCAAGACTCCAACCTGATCTCTGGTTTCCTTCCTTGCTGGAGATTTATTTATTTATTTATACTTTAAGTTCTGGGATACATGTGCAGAATGTGCAGACTTGTTACATAGTTTTATATTTGCCATGGTGGTTTGCTGCATCTATCAAACTGTCAGCTAGGTTTTAAGCCCCACATATATTAGATATTTGTCCTAGTGCTCTCCTTCACTTTGCCCCCTGACAAGCCCTGATGTGTGATGTTCCCCTCCCTGTGTCCATGTGTTTTCATTGTTCAAATTTCACTTATGAGTGAGAACATGTGGTGTTTGGTTTTCTGTTCCTGTTAGTTTGCTGAGAATGATGGCTTCCAGCTTCCTCCATATCCCTGCAATCTGAGGTCTCTGTTCTGTTCCCTCTGTCTATATATCTGTTTTGGTACCAATATGACTTCCTCTCTTCCTATTTGCATACCCTTTATTTCTTTCACTTGCCTGATTACCCTGGCCAGAACTTCCAATACTATCTTGAATAGGAGTGCTGAGGGAGGACATCCTTGTCTTGTGCTGGTTTTCAAAGGGAATGCTTCCGGCACTTGCCTATTAAGTATGATATTGGCTAGGGGTTTGTCATAAACAGCTCTGATTATTTCGAGACTTTTTCCGTCAATACGTAGTTTATTTAGAGCTTTTAACATGAAGGGATATTAAATTTAATCTAAGGCCTTTTGTGCATCTATTGAGAAAATCCTGTGGTTTCTGTCATTGGTTCTGTTTATGTGATGGATTACATTTATTAATTTGCATACGTTGAACCAGCCTTGAATCCCAGGGATGAAGCTGACGTGATCATGGTGGATAACATTTTCGATGTGCTGCTGGTTTCAGTTTGCCAGTATTTTATTGAGGATTTTTACATCGATGTTCATGAGGGATATTGGCCTGAAATTTTTGTTGCGGTTGTGTCTTTGCGAGGTTTTGGTATCATTATGATGGTGACCTCATAAAATGAATTAGGGAGGAGTCCCTCCTTTTCAATTGTTTAGAATAGTTTAAGAAGAAATGTTACCAGCTGCTCTTTATGCTTCTGGTAAAATTCGGCTGTGAATCCATCTGGTTCTGAGCGTTTTTTTATTGGTAGGCTATTAATTACTGCCTCAATTTCAGAACTTTTTATTGGTCTATTCAGGGATTCAACTTCTTCCTGGCTTAGTCTTGGGAAAGTGTATGTGTCCAGAAATTTATCCATTTCTTCTATATTTTCTAGTTGATTTGTGTGGAGATGTCTATAGTATTCTCTCATGGTAGTTTTTATTTCTGTGGAATCAGTGGTGATATCCTGTTTATCATTTTTTAATGTGTCTATTTGTTTCTTCTTTCTTTTCCTCTTTATTAATCTAGCTAGTGGTCCATCTCTTTTGTTAATCTTTTCAAAAAACCAGCTAGTGGAGTCATTGATTTTGAACAGTTTTTCTTGTCTCTATCTCCTTCAGTTCTGCTCTGATCTTAGTTGTTTCTTTCCTTCAGCTAGTTTTTGAATTTGTTTCCTCTTGATTCTCTAGTTGTTTTAATTGTGATGTTAGGGTGTCGATTTCAGATCATTCCAGCTTTCTGTTGTGGGCATTTAGTGCTAGCATATCCCCTCTTAAAACTGCTTTAGCTGTGTCCAAGAGATTCTGGTACATTGTCTCTTTGTTCTCATTTGTTTCAAAAAAAACTTAATTTCTCTCTTAATTTTGTCATTTACTCAGTAGTCGTTCAGGAGCAGGTTGTTCAATTTCCATGTATTTATGTGGTTTTGAGTGAGTTTCTTAATCCTGAGTTCTGATTTGATTGCACTGTGGTCTGAGAGACAGTTTGTTATGGTTGCCATTTTTTCCATTTGTTGAGGAGTGTTTTGCTTCCAATTATGTGGTCAATTTTAGAATATGTGCTATGTGGCATGGAGAAGAATGTATATTCTGTTCTTCTGGCATGGAGAGTTCTGTAGTTGTCTATTAGGTCCGCTTAGTCCAGAGCTGATTTCAAATCCTGAATATCCTTGTTAATTTTCTGTCTCATTGATCTGTCTAATATTGGCAGTGGGGTGTTAAAACTTCCCAGTGTTATTGTGTGGGAGTCTACGTCTCTTTATAGGTCTGTAAGAACTTGTTTTATGAATCTCAGTGCTCCTCTGTTGGGTAGGTATATATATAGGATAGTTAGCTCTTCTTGTTGCATTGATCCCTTTACCTTTATGTAGTGCCCTTCTTTGTCTTTTTTCATCTTGGTTTAAAGTCTGTTTTACAAGAAACTAGGATTGAAACCTTGCTTTTTTTGTTGTTGTTGTTGCTTTTTTTGCTTTCCATTTGCCATTTCTCCTTCCCTTTATTTTAAGCCTATGTGTGTCTTTGCATGTGAGATGTGTCTCCTGAATATAGCACACCAAAGATTCTTGACTGTTTAACCAATTTGCCAGGCTCTGTCTCTTAATTGAGGTATTTAGCCCACTTATATTTATGGTTAATATTGTTATGTGTGAATTTGATCCTGTTATCATGATGCTAGCTGGTTATTTTGCACATTCGTTGATGCAGTTTTTTCATAGTATCGATTGGTCTTTATATTTTGGTGTGGTTTTGCAGTGGTGAACCATATTTTCCTTTCCATATTTAGTGTTTCCTTCAGGAGATTTTGTAAGGCATGCCTGGTGGTGACATAATCCCTCAGCATTTGCTTGTCTGTGAAGGACTTTATTTCCCCTTTGCTTTTGAAGATTAGTTTGGCTGGATATGAAATTCTGAGTTGAAAATTATTTTATTTAAGAATGTTGAATATTGGCCCCCACTCTCTTCTGGCTTCTAGAGTTTCTGCAAAGAGATCTGCTGTTAGTCTGATGGGCCTCCATTTGTAGGTAACCTGACTTCTCTCTCTGTCTGCCCTTAACATTATTTCCTTCATTTCAACCTTGGAGAGTCTGGCGATTATGTGTCTTGGAGTTGCTCTTCTCGAGGAGTATCTTAGTGATGTTCTCTGTATTTCCTGAATTTGAATGTTGGCCTGTCTTGCTAGGTTGAGGAAGTTCTCCTGGATAATATCCTAAAGTTTGTTTTCTAGCTTGGATCCATTCTTCCCGTCACTTTGAGGTATACCAATCAATCGTAGGTTTGGTCTTTTCACATAGTCCCATATAACTTAAAGGCATTGTTTAGCTCCATCAGGCCATTTATGTTTCTCTCTAAGCTGGTTATTCTAGTTAGCAGTTCCCATAACCTTTTATCAAGATACTTAGCTTCTTTGCATTGTGTTAGAACATACTTCTTTAGCTCAGAGGAGTTTATTATTACCCACCTTCTGAAGACTACTTCTGTCAATTCTTCAATCTCATTCTCCATCCAGTTTTGTGTCATTACTGGAGAGGTGTTGTGATCATTTGGAGGAGAAAAGGCATTCTTGTTTCTGGAATTTTTGGCATTTTTGTGCTGTTTTTTCCTCATCTTCATGGATTTATCTACTTTCAATCTTTGGGGCTGATGACATTTGGATGGGGTTTTTTTTGGGTGGGTCCTTTCTGTTGATGTTGATGTTGTTGCTTTCTGCTTGTTAGTTTTTCTTCTAACAGCAAGGTTCTTCTGCAGGTCCAGTGCAGTTTGCTGGAGTTCCAATCCAGACCCTGTTCACCTGGGTGTCACCAGTAAAGGCTGCAGAACAGCAAAGATTGCTGCCTTCTCCTTCTTCTGGAAACTTCATCCCAGGAGGATACCCGCCCAATGCCAACTGGAGCCCTTTTGTATGAGGTGTCTGTCAACCCCTGTTAGGAGGTTTCTCCCAGTCAGGAGTCACGGGGAACCCACTTGAGGAGACAGTCTGTCTCTTAGCAGAGCTGGTGCACTGTGCTGGCAGAATCCCTCTAGTCAAAATCAGCTGCTCTCTTCAGAGCCAGCAGGCAGGAATGATGAAATCCACTGAAGCTGCACCCACAGCCTCCCCTTCCCCCATGTGCTCTGTCCCAGGGAGATAGAGGTTTTCTGTGTAAGCCTCTGACTAGGGCTGTTACCTTTCCTTCAAATATGACCTGCCCAATGAGGAGGACTCTAAAGAAGCAGTCTGCCACAGCCACTTTGCTGCACCCAACCCGGACCTTCCAGCCTCCTTGGCACCGTCAGGGGAAAACTGTCTACTAAAGCCTCAGTAATGGTGGACTCCACTCCCTCCAACTGACCTCAATTGGCCCAGGTCAACTTCAGACTGCTGTGCTGGCAGCGAGAATTTCAGGATGAGGAACGCATTAGCTGTTTGTGATTTTCATGTCTGTTGCAGGGATTTGACCCATTGTTAGTGCTAGATTTGGAGTCTTAAAAAACAGATTTATCTTACTGAACTCAAAGTACAACTTGAAGATGTACTCAGCTGTTTACTTAAATTAAAGCGGGAGAAAATGTATCTTTGCAGATCTATTTTTATGTCACTTGCTTTTAGACACGAGATTGTCTCTGGCACAGTAATTCAACTTAGTCTATGTCAAAAACATAGCCTGAAAATGCTCAAAAAAAATTATGAATAGCGGATTGTATTCTATGTGTTCTCAAATTTCTTCTATGATGTAAAATATATAACATAATGTTTTACCTTGGATTTCTAACCTCAGCCCTCAGCCATTTTCCCAATTTTTTTTTTTTTTGTTTTGAGACGGAGTCTTGCTCTGTCTCTCAGGCTGGAGTGCAGTGGAGCTATCTCGGCTCACTGCAAGCTCCACCTCCCGTGTTCATGCCATTCTCCTGCCTCAGCCTCCCAAGTAGCTGGGACTACAGGCACCTGCCACCACGCCCGACTACTTTTTTGTATTTTTAGTAGAGACAGGGTTTCACCGTATTATCCAGGATGGTCTGGATCTCCTGACCTCATGATTCACCCATCTCAGCCTCCCAAAGTGCTGGGATTACAGGCATGAGCCACCTTGCCATGCCCCACTTTCCCAAACTATTAAAAGACCTTCCAAGGTGGGTCAAAAGCATTTTTCAGAGAAGATTATTCCTAACAGTAAAGGATAATAACAGATGGATAAAAATCTCAAATAAATTATGCCTCTATTTGCAGAAGCGTCACTCTCCAGAGTCTCCAAGATCCAGAGAATTTCCATGAGGTAGAGTAGTTTATGGACATTTAGCAAAGTTGGTCCTGACTGCTGTCTCAGCCTCTTAATAGATGTGCAGCTATAGACAATTTACTGGACTTAGAACAGTTATATAAACCTGGGCTGCAAGAAAACGGATAACACTGATTGCAAGAATGGCAACCACTTCTCATTCCTCTCTGATCTGGGCCCTCTGCAATGTACACTTGAGGCTGCTTCCATGGAGGGGAAGATTTTCTTTTCCCAAATCTTGGATCTGGCTGGCCTTATTTGCTCTGCCTCATTCATACTTTTTGTTCTAATAAAATAATTAAGATGTTTAGCGTCTCATCCCAGCCTTTATCTTGTTAAAACTATATCTTATGATATGTCATCTCTCTTTACTATATTTGGTTATATTCATTCTATTCAATACTCAGGTAATTTTTTATCTCTGTTTAATTTAGTGTTTCACCTATACCTTGTCCTAATTTTTTTATTCTTTACATTCTACCGAGCTGTGATTCAAATATGATATTTGAATATGGAAAATGGTGGCCTAGTTTTTCTTCAGAAATTTCTTTTTATTTACTTGTGTTCTTTAGTTTTTAACTTGGTTCCAATATTTGGGAAATATCACATTTGAGATGTCTGTAGTCATGTTATTTCTGTGCTTATTCCATTTTCCCTTGGAGGAAGGTGGACAGCATACAGACTTGACATCCTTGTGATCTATCAGTATCTGAAGGGACCACTTTTTTTCAGTTTGATTACTTCTCTGGCTTATTCTCTTGATTTACTTTAGCTTTCATCAAGTGCTTCTATATTTTTAAACTGTATTCATTATTTTCATAGTTCTTGTAGCTTCTTGAGAACTTTTACTTGTCTACACTAAAATATTTAAAAATATGTAGCCTTTTCTTCTGAAAGCACAAATATGCAGTGTACACATGAGTAGAATATTTCATAGGCATTGGGCAGCATACAACCACATCTTATGAGATATTCCGTTTCTTCATTCAAAACATCTCTCTCAAATATGTAGTAATAGTCACTTGTAAGGGGTAGTTCTTTTGATACTTAAAATTTTCTTTTATGTGCCTTTATGAAAATATATACTTAACTACAGAGAACAGAACTCTGTGCTTCCTTTTAGTATGTCCTTGACCTCACAAAAATAATTCATGAAATCTTATATTTATTTTATAAATTAATTTAATGAAACAAAATTTGTGCATGGCTAAATATTACTTGTTGAGTACAATTTAGAATTTCTACTGTCATTTTAGTGTCCTAAAAGATATGAGCTGTTGAATTTCTGCTCTCATAAAATGAATGATATTGTTAGGCCTAAACCCTTGCCATTTATTTTCCCCCTCTGTCATACAGTGTGTATCTTTGGTTCACTGCTGAAAAATTTTATTAATTTTTCTCTCTTGCTAGTAGTCATACTTTCTAATAAAGTTATCATTACTTGTGTTTATTTAGTTACTGTATGTTAAACATTTGATTTCTGATGGTCTTAATGTCATTTAATATAATTGTAAATATTTCAATTTGTCATTATTAACAAATTTCTGTATTATATGTTTTAGACTCAGCTATTAAGTATATGTGGGTAAATGACTTAGAATAATTTCTAAAACATTGTAGGGGCTACTAAGTACTAATAACCCTGATTCATTAAATTTTTATTCCTTATAATATTCTTTATTGACTAAATTATTTTGTAATCTTATTTAAATTTATTCTTTTCTTTTCTAAATATTTGTGAAAAAGGGGTTAGGCTAATGTGTCATTTTGATAAAACTTCATGTCAAATGATATGTTTCACTGGTTTCTTTTAGATGTAATAGCTTTTTTGACTCAGGCAATACATGCAAGTATGAAGTATAAAAATTATAGTCTCAATCCTTAAGCTGAGTAAAAACTTGGCTATTTATTGATTTTAACAAAGCTACATTATCCCACATAATACGTAAAACTTTCACAAAGCTACATTATCCCACATAACAGGCATACCAGCTGCCTATATCTGGAAACATGGATTGTTACAAATTAGAAGTAAATAACTTGATAGGCCCAATTTAACAAATGAAGCTCAAGAAGTGGGAGATATGAGACCTATAATGAAAGATTAAATTATTTTAAAAATCTTACCACAAAGAAAAATCAGAGTCAAATACTTTAACTGTTAAATTATACAAAATATTTCATAAAAATACCAATCCTTTACAAATACACACCATACATAGATAAGAGATAAACAACCCCTAACTACTTTATGAGGCCAATATTACTATACCAAAGCCAGACAAACCCATCATGTGTTAGGATTAATATGGGTACATACGGCTGATAAATAAAGACACATAATTCTCAAAAAGTACTAATAAGTTAAATACAGAAACACGTAAAAGTAATTATACACCATGGCCAAGTACAATCTTTTTACAAATGAAGTGGCTTAATATCTAAAAACCAATAATTTAATACACAACATTGATAAAGTGAAGAACATAAAATGATCCTTTTAATAGACACAGAAAAGCTTGTGATACAAACAACACTGATTCATTATAAAATCCTTAACATACTAGGAAGGAAAAACTTACTGGAACTACTAAAAAGGATTCATAAAAATTTCCCACTAATATTACACTTGCTGATGAAAGACTAGGCTCTTTGCCTCACAGTTGTGGGAAACAGATAAGCATGGCTACTTTCGCTACTCTACTAAATTGAACTAAAGGTGTTAGGCAGAGAAATTATATAATAAAAACAAATAAAACTTCTAAATTTATAAAATAAACTTTTATTGTAAATGGCATCAACTTATATTCAAGAATTTTTAAAGAGTTTACAAAAATCAACTGGAACTAATAAATGAGTTCAGCAGGTCACAAGATACAAGATAAATGCACAATATTAAATTGCACTTTTATACAGTAACTAAGGGCAATCAGTAAATAAAATTAGAAAAAATAATTCTACTCATTAGCTCAATGTGTAGTGGCTTAAAATTCCAAATATGCATTATGTCTTATTTTCTGTTGGCTACAAATACTGACACAGCTTAGTTGAATGGGTCTACCACAATGTCCTCATGTGTCCGGAATTGGTCGGTTCTTGGTCTCACTGACTTCAAGAATGAAGCCGCGGACCCTCACGGTGAGTGTTACAGTTCTTAAAGGCAGCGTGCCTGGAGTTTTTCCCTTCTAATGTCAGCATGTGTTTGGAGTTTCTTTCTTCTGGTGGGTTCGTGGTCTTTCTGGCTCAGGAGTGAAGCTGCAGACCTTTGTGGTGAGTGTTACAGCTCATAAAGGCAGTGTGGACGCAAAGAGTGAGCAGCAGCAGGATTTATTGCAAAGAGCGAAAGAACAAAGCTTCCACAGTGTGGATGGGGACCCGAGAGGGTTGCCACTGCTGGCTCGGGCAGCTGCTTTTATTCTCTTATCTGGCCCCACCCACATCCTGCTGATTGGTCCATTTTACAGGGAGCCAATTGGTCTGTTTTACAGAGAGCTGATTGGTCCCTTTTCACAGGGTGCTGATTGATGCATTTACAATCCTTGAGCTAGACACAAAGTTCACCACGTCTCTACTAGATTAGCTAGATACAGAGTGTTGATTGGTGTATTTACAAACCCTGAGCTAGACACGGGGTGCTCATTTGTGTGTTTATAAACCTTGAGCTAGATACAAAGTGTCGATTGGTGTATTTACAATCCCTTATCTAGACATAAAGTTTCTCCAAGTCCCCACCAGACTCAGGAGCCCAGCTGGCTTCACCCAGTGGATTCCCGCACCAGGGCCGCAGGTGGAGCTGCCTGCCTGCCAGTCACACGCTGTGCTCCCGAACTCCTCAGCCCTTGGGTTGTCGATGGGACTGGGTGCCATGGAACAGGGGGTGGAGCTCGTTGGGGAGGCTCGGGCCGCACAGGAGCCCTTGGCAGGAGTGGGGGAGAGGCTCAGGCAAGGTGGGCTGCAGTTCCCGAGCCCTGCCCCGTGGGGAGGCAGCTAAGGCCTGGCGAGAAGTCGAGCACAGCAGCTGCTGGCCCAGGTGCTAAGCCCCTCACTGCCTGGGGCTGGCGGGGCCAGCTGGCCGCTCCAAGTGCGGGGCCGCCAAGCCCACGCCCACCCGGAACTCGCGCTGGCCCGGAAGCACCGCGGGCAGCCGCGGTTCCTGCCCGCTCCCCGCAAGATAAGGGAGCCGGCTCCGGCATTGGCCTGCTGAGAAAGGGGCTCCCACAGTGCAGCGGTGAGCTGAAGGGCTCCTCAAGCGCGGCCAGAGTGGGCACCAAGGCTGAGGAGGCACCAAGAGTGAGCGAGGGCTGTGAGGGCTGCCAGCATGCTGTCACCTCTCACTCATGAGACTGAAGCTGTGTCTCAACTGAAGCTTGACTGGGAAGGATGCACTTCTGAGCTCAATCTGGTTAGTTGTGCATTATTGTTTTGACTCAGTTCTTAGTTTCTTTCTGTCTTTGGTCAGGGCACTCTCTCTATTCTCTGTCACACAAGCCTGTAAAAATGAAAGCTTAAAACACTGAAGCTCGCTTCTCCAGAGCAAAGTATGCGACAGACAGAGAGAAAGACAGGAAAAAAGGAAGTAAACAATATCACAAGAGAGAGAAAGTAAGAAGCAAGTGACAATCTTTTCATAATCAAATATTGGCAGTGACATTCCCTATTTTCCAATGTATTCTACTGCCATGAAGTGAGTCACTAACCACTTACTGTTTACATTTGGGTGTGTATAGTTGGAAATAAAAATTATTATGAGCCATCATGAAGGCTGTGCACTACGTATGCCAAGGTGAGACAAATGGGCCTGATTCTAAATATAACGAGAAGGTACTACAATGTGTGTTGTTGTTATTGTTGTTGTTCTGGCCAAAGAATAACAACATCTAAATTTTATTCAATTTCAATGTTTTCATGGTGGAGTTTGAAAAATAAATTCAAGAGGGGACATGACTTTCTCAAGATTCAAGTTATAAAACCCAGGCATGTTTGAGAGATATTCAAGCAATGTCCCATCCCTTGTAGTTTCTTTCTCTAAGTTTATGCAGTAGCTGTGTTTAATATCAAACCCAACAGTCATGCGTATCATTTTATACATATCTCATGAGATCCCTTGCAGCTGGATGCCACCATAATCCCCACTGTGCAGGCTGTGAGACTATGGAGCCCCTGAGAGGCACAATGACATACTTGGCATCACATAATTAATACATTAAACATAAAGACTTTAACTCAGCTTGTATCCTCAAACTTGTGGCTCTGGCTGCATTCCATTTCCTCCGGCACTGGTGCAGGAGGTGCTGTATTTGCATAATTGTGCACAAGTAATCAGATGACTTGGGAGAGAATGGTGAGCAGTCAGCAGTGCAGAAAAGCCTTTGAGTAGGTCTTATTGAAGGAAGATAGGTCTTATTGAAAGAAGAATAATACCTTCAAGAAGTGACCTCATTTCTTTGGTGAAAGGTCCTAACAGTACTAAGTATTCTGGTAACCAAAAACTCACATTCTAAAGACAGTCCACCATGCAGCACTGTTGGCCAGAATCTCTCAAGAGAGAAAGATGTTCTGCTGTATAACAACTTTCTGAGGCTCTTTCTTGTGAGGTTCTGTTCCTCACAAGTAGCACCTTCTAGCTATGTCTTCACACGACAGAAGGGGCATGAATATTCCTTTCAACCTCCGTCACACGGGCACTATTATTTTCTCGTTAACATGCAGCCCTCCTGACTTAATAACTTTCTCAAAGTTCCAATAACTAATAGTATCACACTGAATCCACGTGTGGATTAAGTTTTTAAATATGAATGTGGAGAGTGAGGAACACAAATATCCAGACCATAGCAAAAAGTTAATAAGCAATAACAATTGCAGTGGACAGTATTATTAATGCTTGGGATATGGGAATTTGATGTTTCTATCACAAAGGTTAAACAATGGTTTATCCTTGGCCGGGCATGATGGCTCAAGCCTGTAATCCAAGCACTTTGGGATGTCAAGGCAGGCGGATCACAAGGTCAGGAGATCGAGACCATCCTGGCTAATACGGTGAAACCCCGTCTCTACTAAAAGTCCAAAAACATTGCTGGGTGTGGTGGCGGGCGCCTGTAGTCCCCGCTACTAGGGAAGCTGAGGCAGGAAAAAGGTGTGAACCCAGGAGGTGGAGCTTTCAGTGAGCTGAGATCACACCAGTGCACTACAGCCTCGGAGACACAGCAAGACTCCATCAAAAAAATAAAATTAAATTAAAACATATAACAAAATTAAGGTCCAATTAAAGGTAAATATATATAGCAAAAAAAAAATTCAAGCTCTGATAAGGTTAATTGTAACAGATTGTGCCAGAATTTTGAGATTTCTGGAGATGGACAGAGCCCAAGAGTTTCCTTCTATAACAATTTCTGTGAAGTTTCTTACACTCTTATTCAATTTGAACGTGGATAAATGGGTTTTCTCTGTTTTGTTATTTAAGAGATTCATGATAAGGAAGGCCTATTTATGCATGATTCTTAAACAATTATTGAGTCAGTGGTGTCTGCTGAGGAAGGGCACAGAATCTCATGCCCACAGAAGCATGATGTTCTGTCAGATAGGAGACTTCTCCCAGAGCCAGAACTTCATCTTTCAAATGGAATTAGAGATTTTCACAGGCATACATTGCTCTGAAGCCCTATCAGAGGCTTAGCACTGAGAATATGACCAAAGAAGGTGACTAATAAACATATGACCTAGTACTCTGATCTACAGTGATTCTACCCTCTCAAATAGCTCTTCCCTGGCTCTGGAATCTTTTCTGGATTCATCTACCAGAAACAGATACACTGAAAGATTGAGAAGAAGCTTTTATTCTCACTGTGAGTCTTGCCCTGTCTCACCATCTTCTCTAGAAGTGCAATGTTCTAACTATTCCTGAGAGACTTCATCTCAGGTAGCTCTCTCTGACAACATAATTGAGAAGAGAAACGAGCAAGACTCAGATTATTTTGAAGGCTTGTCTAGGGTTCTTACATGATTTATGTCTCCAATTTATGTCAATATTGACAAATATAGATTCATCTCTAGATGGTAGAAAAACAGAAGGAGGAGCCTCTGCTCACAGAGAAAATAAAAGATGAATTCAATGTTTTGTAGAGCCAGCTTATTTTAAACCATGGGGCATTTAATCTTTTTAGAAAAAAACAAAAGCAATAGGGTTTTTTGTTTTTGTTTTTGCTTTTGCTTTTGTGTTTTCGTTTTGGTTTTTTTTTGTTTGTTTGTTTTTTCCCTGAAGCAACTCAACTGTGGCCTCAGACAACTGGGCACTGAGAACGCATGCTCCTCACTAGAATTTCATTACTACATTGCAGAGAAATGGGATAATTACAAAGGATTTTTTTTTTTTTGAGATGGAGTCTTCCTCTGTCATCCAAGATGGAGTGCAGTGGCATCATCTCAGCTCACAGCAACCTTGGTCTCTCAGGTTGAAGCAATTCTCCTGCCTCAGCCTCCCAAATAGCTGGGACTACAGGCATGTGCCACCTTGCCTGGGTAATTTTTATA
Source organism: Homo sapiens (assembly GCF_000001405.40). Lineage (NCBI taxonomy): Eukaryota > Metazoa > Chordata > Mammalia > Primates > Hominidae > Homo > Homo sapiens. The sequence continues at coordinate 345,612 of NW_021160026.1, forward strand.
TTTTTAGTACAGACTGGGTTCCACCATGTTGGCCAGATGGTCTCGATTTCCTGACCTCGTTATCCACCCTCCTTGGTCACCTAAAGTGCTGGGTGTGAGCTGCTGTGCCCAGCCCAAAGGATTCTTAAGGGTGATATGGGGGATGGAATGGAAAAAATAAACTTAGTCTTTGCACTTCCACCTGGTCTAACTAACCCTACTCTCATCCTATCCCAAAATTATTGCCAGACTTTTCTGGAGTGTGCCAGGGGCAATTCAGAAGGAAAAGAGGTTATTCATGCCTATCCATTTCCCATAGCTCCTGAGATCTAAGTCGTTCACTCCCCTGGTTTCAGGTTGTTGCTCCCCTTCTATATCCTCAGAATTAATGTGATCCATTCCAATACTTATAATTGTACCTTTATCTGATCCCCTCCTATTTTGCTGTAGACATTTTATGTAGTAGATCCAGTTGTAATAGAGACAAGAATGTTTATATACACCATAATCAGAACTAAATTGGAGTTCCATAACCCCTTTTTTGACTGGGCTGCTACTCAGAAATCATACAAACCAGGCTGCCTGGAGGTTGCAGTTAGGAGAAATCACATCTTGCCCAGGAATGTCAGTGTGGAAACTCAGATTTGGAAAATAGATTCCTATAGCCCCAATCATTTTGCAACACTTCTGCAGAGTTAAAAGAAAGCCAGTATCTAACAGAAAATCTTGAGCTTGCAGAATAACAGAAAAGAAAAAAAAAACAAAAACACAACTTGCCAAAACACTGAAACTCCCTCTACTTATGAAATAAACAAACTGGCTTAAATTGGTGGAATCATTATGGCCAAATGGTGTTTTGGCAGAATCACCTTGCTGAGGTCACCGTCTGAATTTTCACTGCCTGTTTCATCACAACTCCCCTTCAGTTTGCCCATGACATCCATGAGGAGGCAATGAGCTTGAGAGTAACGTTTCAGTATAAAATTGCTTTCTCTTAAAAACCTGATGTCATAGTATTGGCTTCTAGCACTTCAAGAAGTGAGCTCCTTTTACTCAATAACAATGTTATCTATATCTTAGAGACAGTCAACAGGAGATAATCTCTTCTGGGACCAAAGAAGGTGACTAATAAACCATTTAATCAACACATTACCTAACCAAAAGCTGTGGACCCTGATGAGGAAAATAAGTTAAAATGAGACTATTGGCTCATTTTAATAGATATGGTGATAAAAGCAAAAAAAAAAAAAAAAAGAGAGAATTTAAGCGGTCTCAAATACCTAAAAGATGACATGGATTAGCTTCAAGTAACACATAATGTGGCTGGAGTCAGCTGATCTTTATGCTGAAAGTGTCAACAGTAGTGACAAATACTTCAAGTAACGGGTCAAAAGTCTAAGACAGTCATTCTGCCAGAAATGGTCTGGGACTTCCCCATACATGGGACACGTAGATCAACTTTCTCCAAGAACCACCAACCTGGCATGCAGTGATGACCTCTGCAGTAGACAGGGATTTAGGCTTGATTGTTGTTCATCTCTTTGGAGACATAACCCTAATTGTGAACTTCTAAATTAATGGCCTGACAATTAGATCAGCAGCTAAGATAAATTTCAGTTTGCAGCCCCAAAGAAGATGTTCTTAATTAGACAGTTAATCATTTTCAATATGGAAGCCTAAACACGTAGAATGTGGCAATAACCCGGAACTCTCAGTTCTGACAATTGAGTGAAGTAATCACCCCAGATTCAGGTTCCTCATTGGCTGACAATGAGATCAAACACCCACACCAGCCCAGTGAACACCATGAGGTGTCATCTTCCCTGGCCCATTAGTGAACCAGGAACAGATATTTAGAAAATATTCAGTAAATTGGGGAGTCCCACAGAGTCAGAAAGTTTGCTTGAGATAGTAGAGGGTGGCATAAAATTTCTACCGAATATGAATTTTAATTTTTACTTTAGTGCCGTTTCTATTTTAGTCTAATTTCCTTCTAGAATATGTTATTTCTATTTACCAAGTGGCCTCCTGTGGTCTTTTTCATAGAGTTCAAATCGACCCATCTAAAAACAGAAAGATCAAGCTAACGACCTCCCTCAGGGGTCAGAATTCAGTTTCACAGCTCTGTAGCAAGCTCATTGTTGACTTACAAATTAGTGTAACCAATAGTAACGTCATGGTGACCATAACTCCAACATCCCAAAAAGTACCTCAAGTTAGAGGCTGACTTCATTTATCAGAGGATTCAAATGGCAAAATCAAGCTTTACTAGATCACTGGATTACTGGAAGAAGTGAGCAATGCGAATCTGCAATATAGTTTCACTAAACTTTAATAGGACAGCAAGACTGTAGATATTTTAGCCCTCTCAAAATATGAATCTTCTGATCCTTTCATCTAGAATCTCTATGTGTGCCATAAAGTCCTAACTCTGCTTGTGCCTATACTTTCTGTTCATGCAGAGATTAAAAGACAAACAGGTGGGAGCTTAGTGTTTTAGCGTTTTTCCTGAGAATCTGTCTAGCCTAGAGCATCCCCATTTTTTTCTAGATTCCAAGGAGTACTATCACTATCCTAATTCTCAGTGTCTTGTTTCCAAGTATTTCCTCCTACGATTGTCAGCGTGACTACCTTTTTACCCCACTGATAGTGTTTGCTCCAGGTGAACTGGGTAGTTCATTTTTATTTAAATGCTTCCATAAGCGTTAAGCTATTAATTTAAGATTTCTTTGTTTTTTATAAAGTAATTCTGCTGTTTCCCTCAGAGCTCAACTTTCACTAAGTCTCATAAATTTTATTATGTTTTGTCTAAATGTCTATTTATGTTAAAATATTCTCTGACACTATTTGTACATTTTTTATTCATTAATTATTTAAGATTGTGTCATTTAATGCACACATGTTTGCATTTCCCAAATTTCTTGCTTTTTTGGTCTCTAATTTTCTCTTTTGTGATTAGAAAACATTCATTTTATTATTTCAATCTTTCAATTTTATTGATTTTTTTTATGATGCAGCATATTCTCCATTCTAGAGAATGTTCTATGTGCATTTGGGAAGAATATACATTCTGATTTGGGGTGAAGAGTTCTCCATATATCTCTAGTTTTATTTGGTTTATGTTATTCATGTCTTCTATTTCCTTGTTTCTCTTATGTCTAGTTCTTCTACCCAATAGTGTAAGTGGGGAAGTGAAGCTTGCAATTTTTATTGTTGAAACTATTGTTGCAACTATTTCTGCCTTTATGTTTTGCTTTATGTACTTCTGTGAACTTTTGTTACATTCATATATGTTAATTTATTTTCCTCATGAATTTATCCTTCTAATTATAATCTATCTTCATCTCTAGTAATAGTATTTGTTGTCTTAAAGTATATCCTAATTTTTTTATTTTTGGTTTTTCTGGGTGCATAGTAGGTGTATACCTTTATGAAGTATATAGAATATTTTGATACCGTCATACAATGTGTAATAATTACATCAGAGTCAATGGGGTATTCATCACATGAAGTATTACTATTGGATTTCAAATAACCAAATTATACAATTTCTGTTATTTTAAAATGTACACTTAAATTATTCTTAACTAGAGTCACCTTGTGCTGTCAAATGCTAGAACTGATTCATTCTTTCTAACTATATTTTTATACCCATTAACCATTCCCACCTCCCCGCCCTCAACCTTCTACTACTTCTCTCAGCCTCTGGAGACCATCATTCTACTCTTTATCTCCATTAATTCTTTGGTTTTAATTTTTAGCTTTAACAAATAAGTGAGAACGTGTGAAGTTTGTCTTTCTATACCTGGCTTATTTCACTTAATAAAATGACCTTCAGTTTAACCCATGTTTTTACAAATGACAGAATCTCATTCATTTTTATGTCTGAATAGTACTACATTGTGTATATGTACCACTTTTTTGTTTATTCATCTGTCGATAAACACCTATGTTACTTCCAAATCTTGGCTATTGTGAATAGTGTTGCAGTAAACACAGGAGTACAGCTATCACTTCAATACACAGATTTTTCTCTCTTTTGGATATATACCTAACAGTGAAATTGCTGGATTGTACAGAAGCTCTATTTTTAGTTTTCTGATGAACCTTCAAGCTGTTCTCCATAGTGGTTCCACCAACTTACATTCCCACCAACAGCATATGAGGGTTCCCTTTTCTCCGCATGCTTGTCAGCATTTGTTATTGCCTTTTAGCTAAAACCCACTTTAACTGGGGTGAGGTAATAGCTCATTGTAATTTTGATTTGCATTTCTCTGATGATTCATGATGTTGATCATCTTTTCATATACCTATTTGCCATTTGCGTGTCTTTATTGGAGTAATGTCTGTTTACATATTTTGCCTATTTTTTAAAATAGGATTATTAGATTTTATTTTCTATAGAGTTATTTGAGCGCCTTCTATGTTTTGGTTACAAATCCATTTTCAGATAGGTAGTTTGAAAATATTTTCTTTCATTCTGTGGGTTGTTTTCTGACTTTGTTGATTCTTTTCTGTGCCATGCAAAATTTTATAACTTGGTGTGATACCAATTTTCCATTTTGCTTTGGTTGCCTGTGCTTGTGAGGTGTTACTCAAGAAATCTTTGCTTAATCCAAGGTTTTTTAGAATTTCCCCAATGTTTTCTTTCAGAAGTTTCATAGTTTGCAGTTTTACATTTAAATATTTAATCCATTTTGATTTAGTTTTTGCACATGGCAAAAGATAGAGGTCTAGTTTTATTCCTCTGCATATGGATATCCAGATTTACCATCACTGTTTATTGAAGAGACTGAGTTTTTATTCTTAATATATTTTCTTGGTGCCTATGTAAAAAATGAGTTCACTGTAGATGGATGGTTTGGTTCTGGGTTCTCTATTCTGCTCCATTTTCCTGTGTGTCTGTTTTTATGCCAGTACTATGCTGTTTTGGTTACTACACATCGGTAGTATAATTTTGTGTAATGTAATAATGTATGCTATGTAATGGGATTCCTCCAGTTTTATTCTTTTTGCTCAGGATAGCTTTAGCTATTCTAGGTCTTTTGTGATTATATATAAATTTAAGATTTTTTAGAGCTGTTGTATTTATTTGTGTGAGGAATGTCAATGGTATTTTTACAGAAATTGCGTTGAATCTGTAGCTTGCTTTGTGTAGCATGGACATTTTAATATTGATTCTTCCAATCCATAAACACAGAACACTGACTAATACAATCTGCAAATGGGTAGTTTGACTTCCTCTCCTCTTATTTGAATGCCTTTATTTTTTTCTCTTGTCTGATTGCTCTGGCCAGGATTTTCAATACTATGTTGAACAGGGCTGGTAAGAGAGGGCATCTTTGTCTTGTGCCAGTTTCCAAGAAAAATGCTTCCAGTTTCACCCATTCAGTATAAAGTTGGCTGTGGGTTTGTCATAGATGACTTTTATTATTTCAAAGCATGTTTCCTCAATACCTAGTATATGGAGAGTTTTAACATAAAGTGGTTTTGAATTTTAATGAAAGCTCTTTCTGCATCTATTACAATAATCATGAGGTTTTTGTCTTTCGTTCTGTTTGTATTATGAATCACATTTATTGATTTGCATATGTTGAACCAACCTTGCATCCCAGGGAAAAAGCCTACTTGATTGTGGTGGATAGGCTTTTTGGTGTGCTGCTGGATTTGGTTTGCCAGTATTTTATGGAGAATTTTTGCATCAATATTCATCAAAGATATGAAATTTTTCTTTCTTTTGCTTTTCTTCCAGGTTTTGATATCAGAAGGGTGCTGGCCTCATAGGATGAGTGAGGAAGATGATCCTCCTCAAATTTTTGGGAGTTTCAGTAGGAATGATACCAAATTCTTCTTTGCATATCCAGTAGAATTTGGCTGGGAATTCGTCTTTTCCTGGGCTTTTTAAAATTGATAGTCTATTTATTACAGATTCAATTTTGGAGCATGTTATTGGTCTGTTCAGGGATTCAATTTCTTCCTGGTTCAGTCTTGGAAAGGTGTACATGTCCAGGAATTTATCTATTTGTTCTAGGTGTTGTAGTTTTTTTGCATAAAGGTGTTCATCATATTCTCCGATGTTTATTTCTATTTCTGAGGAGCCAGTGGTAATATCCCCTTTGTTGTTTCTGATTGTCTTTGTTTGGATCTTCTCTCTTTTCCTCTATATTAGTCTAGCTAGTAGTCCACATTTAAAACAAAACCTACTCCTGGATTCATTAATCTTTTAGTTTCTTTGTGTGTGTCCTAATCTCAGTTTATCTCTGATTTTGGTTATTTCTGTCTTCTTCCAGCTTTGGGGTTGGATAGCTCTTCATTCTCTAGATGTTTTAGTTGTGATATTGAGTGGTTAAATTGAGATCTTTGTTACTTTTTGTGGTGGGTGTTCAGCAACATCAGTTTTTTTCTCAACACTGATTTAGTTGCATCTCAGGGATTCTGGTAGGTTGTGTCTTTGTTCTCATTACTTTCAAATAACTTTTTGATTGATGCCTTAATTTCATTATTCACACAAAAGTCATTCAGGAGTGAGTTATTTAATTTTTATGTAATCATATGGTATTGAGTATTGGTTTTCTCAACTTTTACCTCCAATTTTACTGTACTCTGGTCTCGGAGAGTGGTTGTCATAATTTGAATTCTTTTATAATTTCTGAGAACAGTTTTATGTCGATTAAGTGGTTGATTTTAGAGTATGTGCCATGTGGCAATGAGAACGTATATGTTGTTGTTTTTGGTGGAGAGTTCTGAAAGTGTCTGTTACATCCATTTGATCCAGTGCTGCATTCAGATCTTGAATATCTTGTTAATTTTCTGCCTTAATAATCTAATATTGTCAATGGGTTGTTGAAGTTTTTCACTATAATTGTGTAGGAATCTAAGTCTTTTTAAAGACCTCTAAGAACTTGCTTTATGAATTTGGGTGTTCCTGTGTTGGGTGTGTATATATTTAAAATGTATATATTTAAATATGAATACATATATTCTTGTTGAATTTAACCCTTTAGCATTTTGTAATGCCTTTTTGCCTTTTTAAATCTTTGTTGTTTTAAAGTCTGTTTGTCTAAACTTAGGGTTGCAACCCATTCTTTCTGCTGTTTTCCATTTGCTTGGTAGATTTTTATCCCGTCATTTTCAGCCTATGAAACTGATTGCATGTGAAATGAGTCTTGATGACAGCATATCATTGGTTCTTTGTTCTTTATCCAGTTTCCCACTGTTTGCCTTTTAATTGGAACATTCAGCCCATTTACATTCATAGTTAGTGTTGATATGTGTGCATTTGATGCTGCCATTATAATGGTAGCTGCTTATTATGCAGACTTGTTTGTGCGCAACTGGTCTGTATACCTCAGTGTGTTTTTTTAGTGGCTAATAAAGGTTTTTTTCACCTATATTTAGTTCTTCCTTCAGGAGCTCTTGTAAGGCATGTCTTGTAGTAATGAATTTCCTCAGCATTTGCCTGTTTAAAAAGAACTTTATTTCTCCTTTACTTATGAAGCTTAGTTTGGCCAAATACGAGATTGTTGATTGGAATTTATTTTCTTCAAGGAGGTTAAATATTGGTATTGGTCTCTTCTGGCTTGTAGGATTTCTGCTAAAAGGCGTACTTTTACACTGATAATCTTTCCTTTGTGGTTGACCTCCCTTTCCTCTCTAGCTGCATTTGACATTTTTTCTTTTATTTCATGCTTGAACAATCTGATAACTATGTGTTTTGGTGATTATTATATTATGAAGTATCTTACTGGAGTTTTCTGCATTTCCTAAATTTGAATGCTGGCCTCTCTAGCCAGCATTCCCCAGGTTGGGGAAGTTCTCATGAATGATATCCTAAAATATGTTTTTCAAATGGCTTCCATTCTCCCCACCTGTTTCATGAACACCAGTGGGTCATACCTTTGGTCTCTTTACATAATCTTATATTTTTCAGAGGCTTGGGGGTTTTTATTACTCTTTTTTATTTCTGTCTGTATGTCTTACTTCACATAAACAGTCTTCAAACTCTGAGATTCTTCCTTAGCTTTGTCTATTCTACTATTAATAGTTGTGAATTTCTTATAAAAAAATTTAGTGTGATTTTTTTAGCTCTCTCAGGTTAGTTATGCTCTTAATACTGGCTCTTTTGTCTCTCAGCTCCTGTATCATTTCATTATGATTCTTAACGTTTTTGAATTGAGTTTCAAGTTACTTCTGCATTTTAATGATCTTTATTTCTATTCATATTCTGAATTTGATTTCTGTAATTTTAGCTATCTTGGACTGATTTATAACCTTACTGGAGAGGTACTGTGACCATTTGAAGGAAAAGAGGAACTCAGGTTTTTTGAGTTGTCAGAGGTTTTGTGCTTGTTCTTTCTTATCTTTCTGGGGTGATATTTCTTTAATATTTGAAGTTGTCAACTTTTGGATTTTTCCTTTTATTCTGCTTGATGACCTTAAGGGTTTAATTGTGTTATAAGGTTGGCTCAGTCAAGTGGTTTTGTGTGTATTCATGCAGGCGAAGGTGGCTGCTCAGGGCTGAGGAGAGTATGCTGTTTTTTGTGCTTAGTTGTACTCAAATGACAGTGTTGACAAAGGAGCAGGGTGCTGGTGTTGTGGGGCAGATGGCCTCTGTTTCCCCCAAGATTCTGTCTGCAGTGGTGGTATAGCAGGAGAGGGGGCCTGGAGTACACTCCTACCAACAGCAGTGCCAGGGCAGAATGCATATGCACATGTGCACTGACAGGACAGGGAAAGCAAGATCCTTCCATGCACACACACACACACACACACACACACCAGCATAGTGATGTGTGGGGTGGCAATGGGCCTTGGGGGGAAGCTGCAGTGAGGAGAGGCAGCAGGCAGGCTGATGCCTGGATGGGGTCACCCCACTGGAGCTGTCTACTAGTCAGACATGATCTGCCAGTTCAGGATCTATGATGCAGGCCCCCAGGGTACTCAAGGCTGCACTGCAAGCATGCAGGGCCGAATTGGGGTCGCAGGAGAGGCCAGCACACCAACGCAAGCTCAGGTCAAAACAGCCCCATCTGATGGGCCACCACCCTGCAGACTTTTTGTCCAAAATTTCCCCTAGGGCTAACGTCTCTTATGGGAGCAAGTTAAGCTTATTGGTGTGGGCATCCCTGGACATGCTTCACTACACATGTTCCCACAATAAACCCTCTTGGCTGTGCACTGGCTGGTGTGCTGCCCCTGTCACTTCTCTAAGCAGCTCTTCCTTTCAACTCATTTTCCATGATGGTCAGAGGGTCTCTGCCAGTGGGATTCCAGAGGCCAGTCAGGAAAGCAGGTAGCTCCTTGCCACTTAAACTCACCTGTTTTTCTCAGAGTCACTGGGGGCCAGAAATCAGTTCCACTGTGCTTTAGCCCTGTGCAGGGTTCCCAGCTTCTGAATCTTAAGTTCAGATGTTGTGTCTTTCCTCCATCACTATCAGTACCTGCCCTCGGTTAAGAGTGTGCCAGTCATCCTGGTCCCTTGGTGTCAGCTGTTCCACCTTGGTTTGTCTATTCAGCCATCTTGCTCAAATACACAAAGTCTTATAAATCAATAATAAATAGACAATTGACTACTTGAAAAATGTGCAAGGAATTTGAATTAAAAATTTCTACAGATAAGAAGCAAAATTTGTCATTAAATTTAAAATATGTGACATTATTAGTTTAGAGAAATGCAAATCAAAAGCTCAATGACATACTTACTAGAAGACCTGTAAAAGGCAATAAAAAAGGTTGCCAAAGATATCAAAAATATGAAAGCCTCACACATTGTATGTGGGAGTGTAAAAAACAACCGATTTAAAGAACAATTTGGCAATTATTCAAAATGCTATAAATAGTATCACCATATGACTGAGACATTTTACTCTGTTACGTACTCAAAAGAAATGAAAACCTATGACTACACAAAGAATCAGATGTAAATGATCAAAGGAGCAGTATTTGTAATAGCCCAAAGGGGATAAAACCAAAATATCCATCAAATAATAACAGAAAAAATAACGTGTGGTGTGTCCATACAATAAAATACTATGTGCCAAACAAAGAAAATGAAGTAATAATACCTGCTATGTCAGGAAAAAACCTCAAAATCACTAAAGTAAGTAAAATAAACCAAATGCAAAAGGGCAGATAATTTATGATTTCACTTAAAATAACTTTTAATAAAAGGCTTATATATAAAAACAGGCTAATGATTGCCTATGACCAGGGTAATGAAATCAGTAAGTACAAAAGAGATTAATTTCTTTTTCCATAGTGATAAGTTGATTTCAAAATTAGATTGTGGTTATGGGTGTCTGTAAATACACTTTAAGAACTTGGAATTGTACACTTAAAACATGTGATGGTTTTGTTATAAGATTATATCCCTCTAAAATGTTTCCAAATGAAACTGTTGACTTTTGGAGAACTAAGTCACAGACTGTAAAACCAAACCCATTTATTGTTCATCTCAAGGCATGTTAAATAAAGAGGAAAAGACAAAGATATAGTTATAACATTAAAATCTTCATGGCAAATAGTTATAAGAAAAAAATTACAATTGTAAAATGTATTAATAGACATAAATTACCTGCTTAGATTTACCAGGCCAGAAATGTAAATTAAATAATAGTACACTATTGAAGACCACTCTGAGTCACTGATTATTAGAAACTTGTTATGATGTCATCATAAGGTTAAAATATTCCTTATCAAAAATGACTCACAGCAAAAATGTTAAATAAAGTGTGTTAGTGGCACCCCTGTCCACAGTTGCTGGTACTTTTAGTGTATGGCCAATTAGAAAGCTGCTCTTTTGTCCCTCATTTGTAACCAATTTCAACACTCAAATTCAATATTGAACTCCTAAATTTATTGATAAAACATGTGAGAAGATGTTTAAATTATATATTTAAAAGATATTATGAAAATAAAAAATCTTAGCAAACATAGGGAGAATTATAAACTAACATTTATCATACATACCCACCACAAGGCTTCAGCAATTCTCACATTTTTTATCTTTCATTTTTAATTATCAACTTCAATTATTCTGGTAATATTTTCAAGTAAGCATATTATGTTGTCAGTTTGTAGAAATTTGAGTACCTATATCTAAGAAATAAAAAGAAAAATAAAAATAGTACTATAAAATCTAAGTAAATACAAGTATTTTCTAATATTGTACTAAAGAGTTTCTTGATTCTTTACGTGCAAAACAGTAGAACTTAGCAACCTCCAAGACTTTATGAGAAATAACAATTTAAGACTAATATTTATCCTGGAGACTCAAAGTGACTATAAATAAATATATCTTTAGTTAATAAAGCTTAAAAATAAAGTATTAATAAAAACACATTTTGAAGATGGCTGACAACTTTGTTACTAGACATGGGGCTTGTGCTGTAAATAACTAGTTTAAAAGTCCATGGAAAAGGGATTTTCAACCAAAAAGTCTATAGAAAACAAAAAATTTTGGTTTTTCTGAACTCAGGATGTGAGGCCAGCTTTTAAAGCACTGAATTTAAAAAGCCCTCAAGACCCTAAGCTTGATAAGCACGTCACCAGCAGGTCTCATTTTTCAGCTCTGTGCACCAGGTGGCATGTCTAGCAAAATGTCCCCTCTCATGTCAGGTTTTTTCTATGAACTCAGAATGACCACTGTCCCTTAGTATGCAGCCCTGCAGTGGACCCAAAAATGACAATCAATCAGGTCCAGAGTTGCTCATTATGGCCTTTCCAGAATGTAATTATCTAAGGACAATTCTCCCCCTTGTAAAATTAAGAAAGTATCAGAATATTTGCCTAATTTTTGATAACATCATACTGTGAGCCACAAAAAAGCAAGAATTTAAAATGTAAGGGATTACCTGGATCCTAGGGCACAGAAATACACCTCAAATAGAATAGTTTCACACACGATTTTATATGTGGACTTCCTGTGTGGAAGAAAAGAATGTGGGGGTCAATAGTAGAGAAGTCTGTATGTAGTGGAATTTTAAGAAATCAGAGAGGCCGATGGGGTTCAGGAGGGTATTTATTAATTATTTAGGTGCACTGGTCCAGTGGATTAACATCCAAAGAATGAGTCCTGAACAAAGAGTTAAGTTACCTTTTAAGCATTTCATGGGTGGGGAGAGATTTGTGCAGGGAGAATCATACTACAGAAGCAAGAAACAAAGACAGTTATTCAATTGAGACATGCATTACATTATTTCTTACTTTTCAAGGAAAAACCTGTTTTGTGACTTGAATTTATCTGTCTAGTGACCTTGCAGCTTTACAGCTTGGGAAACAGGGTCTTCACAATCCCTGGGAAAGGAGGAGAGATAAGGATCACTAGCCACAGAAAAACAGGCAGTTAGTTTTTAAAGGACTCCAGCTCTTACTCTTTCTCAACAGAAGTTGGGTTTTCTTACACACAAGTGAGTTTCTGCTTACACACTCTTTAATCTCTTATAATTCCTGTTCCATTCTCCCCATTGGTGCTTTTTATAACAGAGGTGTTAATAGAAAGCACCATTATTTGCCAAGTCTTCATGGAGCTGAGCTTTTTCTTCTTCTGGCGGTGGCTGATATCTGGTTAATGCATCAACTGTACAGACTGTACAGTAGTGTTTTGGGCTACCATTGCCTCCATAGTTGACTGAATACTCCTAATAAACAGAGACAAAAGGCAAGGGAGGATAAGGCAGATGCAAAGAATAAGCAAGAACCTACTAATGAGGGTTTAGAATTTTTCAAATGCTGAGAACCATCCTCCAAACAAGGAATCCGGGGACTACCTGGATCAAGTCTGAAGTGGAACCTGGGCCAACTTGTGCATTCTAGCTGTAATTTTTATGACCACTAATATTGATTTCTTGGCTATTGATTTCTAGGCAACAGTTGGTTAAATTAAATTTTCTACATATTCCTCCTTCGGAGGATAAGAGATAATTTAAAGCCAGCCTATTTTGATATATAGCATTTCCTTTTTGTGTTGCTTGTATTGCCAATAAATCTAGTGCCCTCGATATTTCATTGGTTATGATTTGAAGGACTGCCTGCAACTTCATGATGCGGCTGAGGATATAGATTATGGTGCAGTACCCTCATGACCTGTCTTGCACCTAGGTAGCTGGCCCATAGCATGTCATGATTCTTTCAGGAGGTCATTTATTATCTTTTTAGTCTCCTGTGTCCACATCTTTTTTGATATTTTTGTTACTTTTGTGATTATGCTTTTTCTAGTTCTTCTTTTATTTTTATTATAAACTGGATATTCTAAGAATTTCCCTTGCTTTAGAGGAATTAGAAAGAAGGATGGCTTGATTGCTTTTAACAGACACGCCCCTGCCCATTTTGCTGGCAGTTGCCAATATGCCCATGCTCCACAGATCCAATATAGGCCAGAGGGTGCCTTTCAAGCATTTGAATCATCTACCTGATGCCAAGTGCAGCTTAGAGTAAGGAATCCAGAGAAAGTGTTTGGATCTGGTAAGTAGGAGTCATTCTGGGCATTTCTTCATAGAGTTTTGTTTTTAGTCTCGTAATAATACTGTTGCCCTAGGCAGGTTGTTTTTCCTACTGCCTCTGTGAAAGCCTTTCCCCATCGAGTGATACAGTACTTTCCAGTTATGGAGATTTTTAACAATCAAACACTGGCTGAGGCTGTTGGTTCACTGGCAGGGTTAAGCAAAGTGAAGTTATCTTGTGGCATTAATTCCTTTGCCTCCCATTGCCACTCATTCTCCATATTAGTTTCTCTACATACATAGCATGAAGAAATTTTTAAGCTGCCATCTGTGTTTTCAGCTAGTTGAGCAAATAAGTTTTTGGTTGATGGGGGAACCTCGGGCACTGGCTGATCAAAATGCTTACAGAATGACTTGGTATTGAGGGGTTGGATGCATTTGAGTCCTTATAGTATTTTTGACAATTAGTAGTGGAACTCCAAGACCTGCTCCTTGTCTATCAACTGGTAATAGTGCTGTCTGTCCTGTAGACCAAAAAGGTAGCTCTGGCTTTAAGATAGTAAAATTTAAAGGATCGCATGTCCTTGTCTTACAATCTGGTTTTTAGGATTATGAACATACGTGGCATGGCAGTCATCAAAGAAGAAATAGGCCCTTTTTAGAAGGGTGGGATTTCTTTGGTTTGAGCTATAAGCTTTCCTTCTGTTTCTCCCTCTGATATAATATTTACCTCAAAATAGAATTAATAGGGTAAGAGCCCAGGCTCATAACATACATATAGCTGATTATTTCCTCAGTCACAGACTGAATAGGTGGTCTGGTTGTATATGCATATTCCTAATTTGCTTCCTGTACATTCATAGTAGGTATGGTACAGTAGAGTTTTAACTGTGGTATTTTTTATCCAGGTAATGTGTACACAGCATGGACATCCTTCAAGAGATTTATCCCCTTTCAGTATAAGCATAAATGGTAACAACATTGTTGTATGTAATAGAAACATGCTTACACTACACATGGGCACAAAAACTTTCCTCTGGGCATAGACATTTGCAGCATTTGCAGTAATAACATAACAACGGAACAATCAGTATTGACAGAATTGTAACTATGGTTATAAATTGTATTCACATTTACTTATCTGGACATGGTCCTCTTAGCTTCGGCTGTGTGTACACTAGTCAGCTTCCGGGATGTGACTAGAGCAGAGTTTGAAGAATCCTTAAGCTTCAGCCATGCTTAGACTGACCAGCCTCCAGTGTGGTCAGAGCAGGGCGGTTGTCCTTTTTACCGGTGGCTGAGATTTGCCATAGGGCTATTCGAGTGGGGCAATCTGGGTCTTGTTGGCTAATCCACAGGTTGTCATCAGGACTCGCTACTGTCACTGGTTTTAGATGGCTATGGTGAATCCAAGGTGTGGCACCTGCAACTTTAACAGCAGTGGGAGTAGACATGATTACAATATGGCGCCTATCGTATATGGGTCCTAGAGTGGTTGAATTCCATTTTTTACCTAAACGAAGTCCCTAGGTTTGAAAGGGTGTACTGGGTCTGTTAGACTTATAGGCATTTTTTTACATACTTAACCATGCATTTTAGTATAGCCATACTTAAAGCCTGCATTTGCCTTCTTAAAGTTAGTTTTCCCAATTTACAGAGATTACCCTGAATCTGATTTTTCTGGGGGGTGGGCAGCTGAACAAAATCTCAGAGGGCGAATACTCAGTTTTTTGGTGGGGGTGCACCTGACTCATAAGAGGACCATGGGCAAGACCTGATATTACTTCAGATGAGTTTTTCGACAAAATTTCTTCAACAGCTGCTTGAGTGTCCAGTTTATGCTCTCCACTTTACCTGAGATCTGCTACCTGTAGGCTGTATGTTATTTCCATTTTATTTTTAATAGTCGAGTTAAGTCCTGAACTATTTTAGCCACAAATGTTGGTCCATTCTCTGATCTTAGAGTTAGAGGCAGCCCAAATCTGGGAACAATGTCTCTTAACGCCTTGGTCACGTCTAGTGCCCTCTCTGTCCTGGTGGGAAAGGCCTTGAGCTATCCTGAAAAGGTGCAAATGAACACCAATATGTACTGATAGCCCCCGTCTCAGGGTCATTCAGTGAAGTCCATTAGCAGTTTTTCACAGGGCATGGCTCCTTTTTCCTGAACTCCCATGGGCCGAGTAGGATCTTGTCGTGGATTGTTCCGAGTGTAAGTTAAACACAGTTTACAAATGGCCCGAGTAATAGCAATGAGCCATGGCAGATAAAAATGATGCCTTAATAATGTCTTTATTTTTTTTTTAATCTGAGTTCGGTGGTGGAATTGTTTTACAAATCTGGGGGTCACCATTTCAGGTATGGCTAGCCTCCCATTGAAGAATTTGTATTATCCTCTTTCAATGTAGTTCTTATTTTCCTGGGGAAGCCAAGCTCTGTTATTTGGAGTGAAGATTGGGATCTCCAGGAGGGGAATCTCCGGGAGGAGAGGCATAGCTAAGGCATCTTCTTTAGGTGGAGTTGTCATTGCAGCCTTCTTTGCCTCTTTGCCTTCGTATCTTTTTTAGCCCTTAGTGTTCTTGCTTTTTGCTGCCTCTTGCAGGACTTCACTACCGTCACTTTTGGGGCCCATACAGCGTTTAAGAGCTGTAGGATTTCTTCCTTGTACTTTATTTCTTTGTTTCCGCAGTTAAAAGTCTTCTTTTTTTCTTTGTAAATAACCTTATGAACATGCAAAGTGGCAGAAGCATATTTGGAACCTGTATAAATATTGGTCTTTTGGTCTTTTGCTAGCCAGAGAACTCTTGTCAGAGCTCTTAGTTCTGCTTTCTAATCAGAAGTTTCTGTAGATGAAGACTGCACCTCTACTGTTGAGTCTAAAGTCACCACTGCATACACAGCTTGGCGGGCTCCTTTTAGTATGAAACTGCTTCCATCAGTAGAATATTCAATGTTTGGGTCCCTGAGGGACTGATCTGTCAAATCTCTCTGGCTTGAGAACACTTCATCTACCACGTCCACACCACAATGAAACGGTCCTCCTGGCACTGACTCGATGAGAGTAAGGTAGCCGGATTTAGGGTATTCACAGTCTCTAAAGTTAGTTTACTAGCTTCCTGCACCAGTACGGCAGTGGCTGCTAGTGCTTTAAGACAAGGAGGCCATCCAAGTGCAACAGAATCTAATTGCCTGGATAAATATGCCACCAGGCGATGCCATGACCTTATGGCTTGAGTCAGAACCCCTATGGCCTCCCTTTCACTTGTGCACATACAAGAAGAAAAGCTTGATTAGTTAGATCTGGCAGTCCTAAAGCTGGGGCCTGAGTCAAGGCTTCTTTGATTTCTTTAAAATCCTTCTCCTCTTTGGCCTCCTAGAGGAGGGGCTCCTTTTTTCCTCCTCTTAGTGGCTTGGTATGATGGCTTGACCATGAGCAAGAAATTTGGGTTGTAAACGCGGCAGAACCTTGCTGCTCTTAGAAACTCTCTTACTTGACACCGGGTGGTTGGAGTAGAAAGTGCACAAACAGCCTGCATTTTTTCAGGACTAAGCCATCTTTCCTCTTGGCTTATATAAAAGCTTAAATATTGACACTTGTAGAGGAGATTTGAGCTTTTTTCTGACACTTTTTATTCTGCCTTCTACAGCAGGTGCAGTGGTTCTTGGGTTTCTTCTGCGTGTAGTAGCCCTTGGCTGGTGTGTGTGTGTGATTTTTTGGTTCTGTTTTTTTGGGTTTTTTTGGTTTGTTTTTTGTTTCTTTTACTATTGCCCTGATCATTTTCATTATTTCTTTGACATTTATGCTTCCAGTGTCTTTCCTTTTGCACCATGCACATTAATCTCTCTCTAGCCTCGGCTGGCCTTCACACTCCTGTCCAGACTAGCCTTTTTCATGACTACGTTCACGCCCGCGTCCATGCCTCCTTGTAAAGCCAGCTCCTCTTCCCGGAAGGGCTGCTGCTAGTAAGTTAGCCTTTCTTAAGCCTGTGATCAGCCTTTTCCTTTGCCTCCTCATCTCGGTTAATTAACACCTTGGTTGTCACTTTAATAAGCTGAGTAGCATTCTCGCCTACGGAGCTTGTAACTTCTGCAATTTATGCCTGATATCTCCTTGGGTCTGCCTTACAAGTGCTGGATTCACCCTGCACTGATTTTTGAGTAGCCTCAGGGTTAAACGGAGTGTACAATAAAAATGCCTCACAAAGTCTTTCATAGAACTTGCTGTGCTTTTATCTGCACCCTGAAGCATGTCTGAGATTTTTAAAAATATTGATTGCCTTTTTCTTTTACCATCCTTTAGCCTTTGCAGATGGGCTTCTCGGCACCTTTGTAGGTGCTGAATCTGGACTGCATCATCTGGGTCCTAGTGGGGGTCCTCCTGTCCTCTTAAGAGGCATGAGCATATCTTATGCACGACCAGACCTGAGACGGCCTGCCTGATTTTCGCTCTCATTTCACCTTCTCGGGTGAGACTGGCAGCATGTATCCATTTGAACTTAACTCCTTAGGGACAGTTACCTTGGTAAAGGGGGTAGATTGGAATGTAAGGAGGAGCGGTCTCTATTCTTTTCTGTGGTTGTGACAAAACCGGTTTTTCTGCCTTTTCTGAGACTTTTTCATTTGTCTTCAGCTGCTGGGGCAGCTGATTTTACTTTCACTTTTGGCTGGGAGGTGCTACAAGCCTCTGTGTCTCCTTTTAACTCTGTAGCTGCCAGAGCAGCTGATTTTCTCTTGCCGTGAGCTGCGAGCATTCTACAGTAAACTGCTAGGCAGGGCTGCATTCATTTAGCCATGAGTCAATATAAAGACTAGGTCTGAATGTCCTGGCTGTTCTCTGACCCTAGTCACCACCTTAAAACACACGGCCAATTTTTCTATAGTGCCTTTGGCAAGCCATCTGACACTAAAACAGGGCTATTCTAATTCACAGTATGTCCTTAACTTTTGAACACTCAGTTTCATCCTATAATCACTTCTAACTCTTTTTTTAAAATTCTTTATTATGCTTTTCAAAGGAGCCACTTTTGATGTTTTCACTCTCATTTCCTCTCTTGCAGTTCATTTTCACTCTGACTTTCACTCTTGAGTCCACCAGACCTGGTCCTATTGCGGGAGTTTCAGATGCTGCTTAGCCAGGACCATGCCTTCCCCTGTCGCAGACTGCTGCAGCTGTAAAGCTGGTACTATCAGCCATATGAAGCATCTTAGGTCTGATTTTCCCCACATTCGCCTCAGAGCACACAGCCACCACTAAGGGATCTGTGCCTCCCCATGTCGCTGCCCACATTGGCCTCTCCCAATGTAACAGGAAGAGCGGCAGACAAAACCCCTTGGACACTGAGTTAAAGAAAGAAGGTGTTTATTCACCTGGGAGCTTCAGCAAGACTTCTTTCCCAAGAGCTGAACCCTCCGAGTGAGCAATTCCTGTCCCTTTTAAGGGCTCACAACTCTAAGGGGGTCCGCATGAGAGGGTCACGATCTATTGAGCAAGCAGTGGGTATGTGACTGGGGGCTGCATACACTGGTAATTAGAAAGGTACTGAACAGGACAGGGATCTTCACAGTGCATTTTTTATGCAAATAACCGATTAGGTCAGGGGTTGACCTTTAACTACCAGGCCCAGGGTGTGGCGCTGGGCTGTCTGCTTGTGGATTTCATTTCTGCCTTCTAGTTTTTACTTCTTCTTTCTTTGGAGGCAGAAATTGGGTATAAGACAATATGAGGTTTGGTCTCCTCCCTTATTTTCCCCCTTTGAGACTCTCACTCATTTTATTAGTGGGAGTTCTCACCTTCTTCCTCACTACCTATGTCTTCCTCTATCACAGATTGATAGTGATTCATGTAGTACACTCGTGCTGAAGCGTTCTGGTGAACTAGAGTTGCCATGAAAACTTTTACCACTTGAATGAGTACAGCTAGTAAGCAAGAGATCAGTAAGCAGGTTCCTATTACTACTATAGTTTCCATTATAAGAGTTTTAAATCCTTCTAGTGCCGGGAACCATTTTCAAACATGGCCTCAGTGTCAAATCGGTGCCACACTTGTACTGGCACATGTGCCAGTTTCATCATGTCTTTAACTATATCTTCGACTACTTGCCCCTGATCATCTATGTGCAGACAGCAAGTGGGCCTAATTACAGTCACTAAATTGGGCCTAATTACAGTCATAATCAATTTACTAAAATAACCAGACAGCAAGACAGGTTTCCAAACATTGGCAAATGTTTCAGGGAGAAAAAAATGCCCCACTAGAGAAGCATGGTTGTATCTCTGTGTGTACATACACACGGGGCCAGGCAGTTCTATGCATGATAGTCTGGGACTGTAAAAGTGACTATGCAAACCTTTACATTCTGTCACAGAACTTACAATTTAAAGTGAGCATCTTTTTCTGTGACTTAGAAATTGACTTTTTTTTTTTTAGTTGGGAGCCACTTTTAGCAATTTTCCCTTTGTTGATACATAATAATAGTATATATTTGTGGTGCATGAGTGATATTTTGATACATGCATGCAATGTACAGTGATCAAATCAGGGTAATTAGAATATCCATCACCTCAAACATGGATATTATTTTCTTTGTGTTTGAAAAATTTCCTTTGTGTTGGGAGAATTTAAAGCCATCTCTTCTATCTATTTTAAAATATATTAAAAATTAGTGCTAACTGTAGTTATCCTACTGTGCTGTCAGACACTAGAAATTATTCCTCCTATGATAAAAAGTTTAGGCTGTATCCCATGGGTAGTAGGACACCACATGACTGAGTGGTCATCTGGGAAATTATCTGGATGACTTTGGAACATTCCTGGTTGAGCCAGGTGGCTGTTGCAACAAACTGTGGGGAAGCCCCTCCCCTAATGCCCCCTAAGCCAGCTGTCACTACATGGCAGGAAACCTCCAAACCTGAGGGCCCCAGGAAACAATGACAGTCCCCACTCACATGCAACTTGTGCTGTGCTCAGTGCCCTCCACATTGAGCCTGATCTAGCTTTACCCGAGGGCTGTGAGGTGGGACAATCAGTATCCCTTTATTTTAAAAGGCTCAGTGAAGTTTTGGGCTTAATGTGAGTGAAGTGATCCTAAAAGCTGACTCTGGGATCCCGGCTCCACCACTGACCAGTCCTGCAGGTGTCGAGAGTTGCCTCTCCTCCCCTCGATTTCATTTTGTCCTCTGTGAAGTGCAGCCGTGCTGATGACTCACATATCAGGGATACATGGGAACTGTCAATGAACAGAGTGCTCTACACAGTGCCTGGAGCTCAGAATGCAGATGAGGGAGGAGGGTGAGCCATAATTCTGAGGGAAGTCCCAACATAATTTAGCCCTTCCATCTAGTAGCCGGGCCCCAGTACAGAGTCCTATGTCAGTGACAGGGCAAACTGAGACCAGCTCAAACACAGCCTCTTCCTCAGCAGCAGGGCCCAACTAAGGCACTTGGTGTTTTGGTTCATTTCCTGCAGCTTCAATGTAAAGAATATTGTGAGACATTTGCTGGAACAACTGAAAATCAGAAGAAGAAGAGACAGCTCTTCTCCATCTCCCTGAGAGCTCTTCCCCAGAATGTGTTTATCCAGAGAGGAGGGGAAATATTTATTTTTCGTAAATAGTAAATGCTAGAGTCGAATATTATATGAAAATCTCATTCTACTACAAAATCGGAGTTGTGGTTGTGGTTCTTTTTATTTCACTTGTGTAAGCTTAAATGAGATACAGACTCTAACATTTCTCCTTGAATTATGAAATCCTAAAGAGTCGGCAGCATAATGTATGAGGAAGAAGAGAAAAGCAGTCATAGTTTCTGGCTGCCGGATAAGACACCCAGGTCCATTTTTCTCAGAGCATATGTTCATTTTAATATTAACCCAAGGAAAGAGTGAAGATAGATCATTCGAACTTGCAGAATTAATAATTTGAAGGTATTTTCACAAAGCATAGCGACAGTCTTGGAAATATAGATTTCTTTAAAAAGCAGTTGCAGAGATCAGGAGGATGAATACCTTTCTATGATTTTACAAAAAATAAATCAACTTCTGCTTCACTTGCTGAGGTTTCCTCTAAGCAACTATTAGGACATTGTTGTTTTTTCTTCCAACTCTGGAGTTGCATCAGGTCTATGTGGAAAAAAACATTATAAAATAAAATGACCAAAGTCAAAAGGAGAAGGCCAGGGAAAGTCTATTGACAATGGATGCAGGGCAGAAAGGAAGCTGCATTCTCAATCTTCTTCTGGTGTCCTGTGATTGAGCCTTTACCTTAGATGTAAATCCTCCCAGAGTTTTGTCTCTTACCTTAGAATTTCTATTCTTTTTTTAAGTTAGTTTCTTATCTAGAATGAAAGAATTGTAATGCCACTTTATGGCTACACCTGGGCCTTATTCTGTAAATATTTTTACTACCTATGAGGTAAAATTCCCAGCATTAGGGCAATTCTTTATCCAATTTTTTCTTTCTGAGACAGAGTCTTGCTGTGTCACCCAGGCTGGAGTACATTGGTACAATCTTGGCTCACTGCGATCTCCACCTCCTGGGTTCAAGAGATTCTGCTGCCTCAGGCTTCTGTGTAGCTGAGATTACAGGCACCCAGCTTCATGTCCAGCTAATTTTTGTACGTTTAGTATGTTTAGTAAATTTTGTATTTTTAGTTTCACTATGTTTGTCAGGCTGGTCTTGAACTCCTGACCTCCAATAATCTGCCCGCCTTGGCCTTCCAAAGTGCTGGAATTACAGGTGTGAACCAATTCTTTTTGAGGAATAAATTACCTAAAGGTCCTCAAGCCTTTCTGTCAGGCATATCTTGGCCTTTTCTCTCTGACTGGGGTCCGATGAATCACAGGTGGGCACTATTTTTCTATATTCCCAACCAGTGATAATCCTTGCTCTCTTTATTTCTAATTAAAAGAAATCCAAAATGGAGATAGTTATTTGAGAGGTCTCTAAAGACAACTAGGAGGACATGAGGAGTTGAATTAATACTCATACACACCCAGGTGGAATTTTACCTGTTCGAACTGGGAAAATTACAGATGTCCTAAAAAGGCAACTGCATTTGACTTGGATTGTTTATACTGAGCCCGATCACAAACCTCCTGAAGAGAAAGCTGTGCTGAATTAAGCTGATGATTGCCTAGATACAGTCTAAGCTGGCAATCAAACATTGTCCATCATAGACTGTGCTAAAATCTTTCACTTGTGTAAACTTGCAGTAAAACTTTATAAGTCCCTCCCTAACCTCATCTGAATGGAACATGATATAGCTTCTTGCTAAATTTGTGTCTCCCAAATAGCAATTTATAAAAAATCATGATTAAAATGCCTTTTATTTTATTTTCCACAGGGTCTGTTTTACTCCCATGTTATAAAATGCTTTTCTCAAGAAAGCATAGAGCCCATTCTCTTCTCTAGAGAGAATCGCAGCCTTGCAAAAGAGACAACTAAAAATACATACATATAAGTAGCAAGAATTTAAAACTCAAAATATTAAATATGTTACAAAAGTATACAAGCAATAGAATAAATAGGATGAATAGCAAAATGGATAAAATCAACTGTGAGTTGAAAGCCTGAAAGTTCAGGTGAAGGTGTTGAAAATGCTTCAGAAAAAACTAAGGAGATAAATATTTATAAAAATAAAGAGCTGGGCTCAGTGGCTCACACTTGAAATTTCAGCTGCTAGGGATGCTGAGGCCAGAGGATCAATTAAGGCCAGAAGTTTGAGACAAGCCTAAGCAAGACCTTGTCACTGAAAATGTTTTAAAAATTATTTTGACATTATAGCATGTAACTGTGGTCTCAACTACTTAGAAGGCTGAGGCAGGAGGATTACTTGAACTCAGGAAGTTGAGGTTACAGTGAACTATAATCATGCTACCGTACTCCAGCCTGGAGTGAGGCAAAATCTAGTCACATTAAAATAAAATAAAACAAAATAAAATAAAATAAAATAAAATAAAATAAAATAAAATATAATCTAGTCACGTTAAAATAAAGTACAATTATCAAGGACAAAAATAAAATTGTACAACTTGGCAATAGAAAAAAAATAGAGCATAGAGCAACTGGGGGAAAGGGGGTTGAAAGTATAATTTCCTTTTTATTTCCTTAGTTGGTCATTACTTAGACTTTTTCACTTAATTAAAATTTTCTTATACTTTGGTGCCCAGTTAACCCCAGAGCATTTTTAATTAATTGGTTTAGAGGTAGATACTCATATAAGCTTTCCACTGCAAATTACAAGAGCCAAATTTTAAATAAATGTTGGACCTCTAAATTTTCTATTTGCAATATTTAAGGAAATAAAAATTATAAAAAACACTTTGTAAAACATTTAGTATGTAACTGCTGTTTCTAATGTATAATAAATCCAATTATGGCAGAGACTCACTCTGTTGTTGAGAATCTCTCCATTATATGACTGCTGCTTGTGGTGCTTAAACCTCAGGAAGAAAGAATATATGAATGTCTGAACATTGCTTTAAAAAGACAATGTACATTTAATGTAGAGATATGTGACCAGCTTAGAAAGCTGCACTTTTTCCACAGCAGGCAAACCGGAGCCTGGATACCCCAGGGTCACAGCTCATGAGAACATAGGGCTGGACTGTGAGAAAACAAGAAGCAATTCGTGCAGAGGAGTTGACAAGACACCAACTGGGCTGAGAAAAAAGAGCTGATAGATTAATTTCCAAATTATACTACAAAACATACAATAAGCAGACCCCATAGCTTTATACATTAAAACCAAATGATGACAAAGAGTGAGGATTGCATTAAATTAAATTAGGAGCAACTAAAGACTGGTTTATGATCTTGAAACTTTAGTCACTCTCCATAGTTCCATCCCATGACCCGGTAATTATTTCCTGCTTTCTGCATGCCTTGGACACTGGTCCATTTCTGGCCCCAAAGTGTTCCTTTTTCTAATAAGAGTACTTACTTCATCTCTTAATACAATTCCTTTCCTTGCATACTGTGCCCCAAAGAAGAAATATTAAAAACTTTCCTGATGTTTTTCTGCTGCGGGGTTAATGGGCTCAGAGTGATGATAAGAACGGCCAATGAGTGTGTGGAGCCAGATAGTGCTTAAAATATGGACTTCAGTCCAGTGAAGTCTAACAAGATTGGCACCTGAGCACTCTTCTCTGAGACCTGAGGATGGACTCACTGAACCTGGAGCTACTAACGCAGCTGATACCCACATATATACACCACCTGTGTTCCTAGAAACTGGCCTTCCCAGCCCATCACAGCAAACACCAACACCAGCATGGAACGCTTGGGAGTCAGAGGTTTTTCTTGTCGTTGCTACTGCCATCATCCATGCCATAACCACTGTCCAGGGGCTCAAGAAGCTGCCCACCCACCTTGCTCACTGCTGACACCTGAGCAAATCACATGAAGGCCAAATAATTAGTCTTCCTGGACCTGTTAACACTGCTGCCAGCATAACTGCCTTGAGGCCCAAAAGCAGGCATGGTAAGCTCACCACTGCCACCACTGGGATCCAATGACTAAACCTCTGGTGCCCCTATTCCCAGCAAAACTTTACCACAGCCTCTGCTAAAAACGATACCCTAAGCCACTGAGAAAGGTACAGACACCACTGATACTCTTTACAGCCAAAGAAATCATATAAAGACAGGCCGGGTATTGTGGCTCATGCCTGTAATTCCAGCACTTTGGGAGGCCAAGGCCAGTGGCTCGCTTGAGGCTAAGAGTATGATACCAACCTGGGGAACATGGCAAAACCCTGACTCTACTAAAAACACACAAATTTGCTGGGCATAGTGGTAGGCACCTGTAATCCCAGCTACTTGGGAGACTGAGGCACGAGAATCACCTGAACTCAGAGGTGGAGCCTACAGTGAGCCGAGATAGTGCCACTACACTCCATCCTGGGCAACAGAGCAAGGTTCTATCTTAAAATATATACACATACAGAGTTTAAAGTCTGTGCTCTCCTCTCCTCAGCTGCCTTGTGACTGTGTAAGTGTATGTTTGGGAAGGGAGGGATAGGATGAGGACAGGCCAGCAGAGAGTCACCAGCACTGGCTAAAGATCTCAGACCAAATTTTATACTCTTGACCAGGAGAAACTTCTCTGTTATTCTAATCACATTAAACTCAAGCATTTTCTTTTTTTCTTTCTTTTTTTTGAGAAATCACATCGAACTTCCAAAATTATAAAGTTGAAAATATGTAATAATTGACAATTGGAAACAAGAAAGAGGATTAGCTATAAAAATAACTCAGGACAATGTATTTATCATGAAAAGATGGTCTTGGTGGAAGAAAGTTTCATGCCCAGCCAGCCCATTCTTCAATATCTGCTAAAAAAAAAAAAGAGCAAAGGGAACTTAAAGACATCATAGACTTGGAAATTTCGTCTCACAGTGCATTAATTTCCCAAATCACATGTGGAAGAGAAGAAGCTGCTGCATATTAGACTAACTAGTTTTACTGAATGTTGTCTGTTGATTTAAAAATTAATACTCTTATCAAGAGCAAATTGAAATACTGAAAGTTATTTACTAAACAGCAAAGAATATTTTCAGTATATAAAAAGATTTAAAAAAACGTTGACACCTTAACTAAATCTGACACAAATTTAAAAGGAAAAGTAACTAGAAAATGAAAGAAGCGTCGTACAAGTATGCGATGCACCCTCTGTTGCACCAACTGCTCCTGTTTGTTGAGTCCCCTCTTCTATTCTGCCTCCTCCATCTCCTTGCTGATTCCCCTTTTTGTCTATTTTAATTTCTCTCTCTATTCCTTTCTCAGGTCACCATGTCACATTCCTTTTGTGTCTTTTGATGTCCAATCTCACCGACACCACCTTCATTCTCTATTTTATCTTTACAAATGGTTAATTAGGCATAAAGAGGGAAAACACTCCTGGGAAGATACCTGAATCCTGGTGCACACTATCATTATCACTGTTTTTCATGTTGATGCTCATGTGTCTCTGCTTTCTCGACAGACTATTTAATCAGTAGACAGATCAACAGGCCAAAATTTCCACCATAGTTGCAAATTTGAATGCGGATGAATGGATTAAAACACATTCAAGTCTTGCAATGAACGGCATAATGTATGGTGGTATAATTCAGAGTGGTTACAGGGGAGAGTTAAAGGTCATTTTATACAATATCACTCGAGAATCTTTTGCTGTAAAACTGCAGATGTGGGTTCCTCAATTTTTAGTGGTACCTTGTCAACAATTAACCCCTGAGGATGTCTCTGCCCCAACAGAGGCTACATACAGAACTGGGAGATTCAGACGCACTGGTACACGTAGCTTAAATCCTGGAGCCAAAATATGAGTACAGCGTCCATCACATCCTACTCCTATGGCTGGTGAACTTGTAGCTATGGGAGAAGAAACTGAAGGCATAGTACAGTTTCCTAAAGATGAAAAACAATATTATGTTCCCCTCTGTTTTGGTTATTACAGAGAATAACCTGTTTACTAATGGTCAGTACCTGTGTCTCTGTGTCTGATGCCAAGAATAAATTCATCATCTGCATAGCCACCACTGCAACAGAAGCCAACTGCAGTCAATGTTGGCTATGCGTGGAATTGCCAGAGGCCACCAAAAATGGGCTACGTTGGAGAATCGTCCCTGTACCTTACTGCATACCGAATGTTGTGTGTATATCCCTGACAATTCTCACACTACGACTCTCCTTGCACAGCCATGGTGGGTGTGGTTTTCATTAACTCTGCTTTTAATTCTCCTGTGCTTACCCTGAATCTGTAATCTGTATCAACTATGCTTTCCCCAAGTATCTGTAAGGGTATTTTCCTACAATTGAGTATCAAATTGAAGCCAAATTTGGAAGAAAAGTTAAATATTCAATTTTATCTCAATTGAACATGGACACAAACAATGGTCACCAAGTCCCGGAACAGGTTCTGTGAGTTTCTTCAGGCGTTCATCCACCAGTGTCTCAGAGAAATTTCTATTTTAATCTGTTCCTGTATGTTAGTTATTGAAAAACAACAGA
The DNA here is from genome assembly GCF_000001405.40 of Homo sapiens. Classification (NCBI taxonomy): domain Eukaryota; kingdom Metazoa; phylum Chordata; class Mammalia; order Primates; family Hominidae; genus Homo; species Homo sapiens. The sequence continues at coordinate 373,035 of NW_021160026.1, forward strand.
CATTCGCCAAAAATTTGACATTTTTGTGGTTTTTGAGCCCAGTAGTGAAGAGTCCTCGTTACCCGGCCTTATGCCAAAGAACTCCTTACAAAAAGAGCTAGGGTCCCAGATGGCACTAGAGCTTCCTGAGACCTCTCCCCATCTCTGCAGGGATGAGGGGCCAACTCTGTAGCCCAGGCTGTTGCTTCCCGGTCTGTTGATGAATCCTCCGTAGTCTGGTGAGTGTAGTGTCTGACTCTGGAGCCCAGGCTATTGCTTCTCTGTCTGGTGATGCTTCCTCCATACTCTGTAGTCTGCTGTGTGTAAACATATGTGTATATATATATATACATATATATGTATATAATTTATACATATAACTGTAAATAAAAATAATTATATAATTATGTACATAATTATTTAAATAAATAAATGTAAATAAATACATATATAATTTTATATATATAATATATATATTTATATATATAAAAAATATATATATTTTTTCCCTTCTCATATCAATTTGCTTATCATATCATTTACTTATTATATCTGTATTGCCATATAATTGAGACAAAAGATGTTTACCCTTAAAAGTATTGTGTGTGCCTTTTCTTCTTCCTCATGCATCTCCCATGCAGAACACATGCCTGACAAATTTTTATATTTTTAGTGGAGACTGGGTTTAGCCATGTTGGCCAGGCTGATCTCAAACTCCTGACCTCAGGTGATCCTTCCATCTCGGCATCCCAAAGTGCTGAGATTATAGGCATGAAACACCCAGCCAGGAGGAGGCATTTCTACAAAGAAAACATACAAATGGCAAACAGACATATAAATGTTGCTAAACATCATTAAACCTCAGAGAAATGCAAATCAGAACTACAATAAGATATTATCTCACTCCAGTTAAAATGTCTTATATCCCAAAGACAGACAATAACAAGTGCTGACGAGGATGTGGAGAAAACTTTAGTGCACTCTTGGTGGGAATGTAAATTAGTATAACCACTATAAAAAAGTGTGGAGGTTCCTCAAAAAGCTAAAAATTGAGCTGCCACAGCTACAATGCAACCCAACAATCCCAGTGATGGGCATTGACACAAAAGAAAGAAAATCGGCTTGTTGCTGCACTGTTTACAATAGCTAAGATTTGAAAGCAAACTGTCTACAAATGAATGAATGTATAAAAAAAGTAGTACATATATACATTGGAGTAGTATTCAGCCATAAAAATGAGATTTTGTCTTTTACGACAACATGGATAAAAGAGAAGAGTATGTTAAGTGAAATAAGCCAGGCACAGAAAGATAAACACTGTGCGTTCTCACTTATTCGTGGGATGGAAGAATTAATACAACTGAATTCACGGACATAGAGAGCAGAAGGATGGTTTTCAGAGGCTAAGAAAGACAGTGGAGGCTGGGGGAAAGGTGGGCACTGTTAATGTGTACAAAAAAATAGAATAAATAAGACATATTATTTGATAGCACAACGAGATGACTCTGGTCAATAATAATGTAATTGTACATTTTAAACTAGCTAAGAAGGAATAATCAGATTTTAACCCAAAGAATAAATGCTTGAGTGGGTGGGTATCCCATTCTCTATGATGTGATTATTATGCATTGCGAGACCGCATCAAAACATCTCAGGAACCCCATAAGTATATACACCTACAATGCATCCTCAAAAATTACAAATTAACTGAAGTAAATAAAATAAAACTATTTAAAAATAAAATATCATAACATTAACTAGCCCCAGAAATATAAGATTTTAATGAAATAAAAATGCCTCTATAATAATCAAACAGTGAGAAGAAAGTCACACTTTACTCCTATTTTTGTTTCTGATCTATCTTCTATCTAGTTTCAAGTTGTAGAATTTTCTTTTTTCATTTCTAATTAAATTTTATTTTATTTTATTTTTTTATTATACTTTAACTTTTACGGTACATGCGCACAACATGCAGGTTTGTTACATATGTATACATGTGCCATGTTGGTGTGCTGCACCCAGTAACTCGCCATTTAACATTAGGTATATCTCCAAATGCTATCCGTCCCCCCTCACCCTACCCCACAACAGGCCCCGGAGTGTGATGTTCCCCTTCTTCTGCCCATATGTTCTCTTTGGTCAATTCCCACCTATGAGCGAGAACATGCGGTGTTTGGTGTTTTGTGCTTGGATAGTTTGCTCAGAATGATGGTTCCAGCTTCATCCATGTCCCTATAAAGGACATGAACTCTTCATTTTTTATGGCTGCATTTTGTTCCATGGTGTATATGTGCCACATTTTCTTAATCCAGTCTATCATTGTTGGACATTTGGGTTGGTTCCAAGTCTTCGCTATTGTGAACAGTGCCGCAATAAACATACTTGTGCTTGTGCCTTTATAGCAGCATGATTTATACTCCCTTGGGTGTATACCCAGTAATGGGATGGCTGGGTCAAATAGTATTTCTAGTTCTAGAGCCCTGAGGAATCGCCACACTGACTTCCACAATGGTTGAACTAGTTTACAGTCCCACCAACCGTGTAAAAGTGTTTCTATTTCTCCACATCCTCTCCAGCACCTGTTGTTTCCTGATTTTTTAATGATCGCCATTCTAAGTGGTGTGAGATGGTATCTCATTGTGGTTTTGATTTGCATTTCTCTGATGGCCAGTGATGATGAGCATTTTTCCATGTGTCTTTTTGCTGCATAAATGTCTTCTTTTGAGAAGGGTCTTCATATCCTTCACCCACTTTTTGATGGGGTTGTTTTTTTCTTGTAAATTTGTTTGAGTTCATTGTAGATTCTGGATATTAGCCCTTCGTCAGATGAGTAGATGGCACAAACTTTCTCCCATTCTGTAGGTTGCCTGTTCAGTCTGATGGTAGTTTCTTTTGCTGTGCAGAAGCTCCTTAGTTTAATTAGATCCCATTTGTCAATTTTGGCTTTTGTTGCCATTGCTTTTGGTGTTCTAGACATGAAGTCCTTCCCCATGCCTATGTCCTGAATGGTATTGCCTAGGTTTTCTTCTAGGGTTTTTACGGTTTTAGGTCTAACATTTAAGTCTTGAATCCATCTTGAATTAATTTATGTATAAGGTGCAAGGAAGGGATCCAGTTTCAGCTTTCTACATACGGCTAGCCAGTTTTCCCAGCACCATTTATTAACTAGGGAATCATTTCCCCATTTCTTGTGTTTGTCAGGTTTGTCAAAGATCAGATGGTTGTAGATATGTGGCATTATTTCTCAGGGCTCTGTTCTGTTCCATTGGTCTATATCTCTGTTTTGGTACAAGTACAATGCTGTTTTGGTCACTGTAGCCTTGTAGTATAGTTTGATGTCAGGTAGCGTGATGGCTCCAGCTTTGTTCTTTTGGTTTAGGATTGACTTGGCAATGAGGGCTCTTTTTTAGTTCCTTATGAACTTTAAAGTAGTTTTTTTCTAATTCTGTGAAGAAAGTCTTTGGTAGCTTGATGGGGATGGCATTGAATCTATAAATTACCTTGGGCAGTATGGCCATTTTCACGATATTGATTATTCCTACCCATGAGCATGGAATGTTCTTCCATTTGTTTGTATCCTCTTTTATTTCATTGAGCAGTGGTTTGTAGTTCTCCTTGAAGAGGTCCTTCACGTCCTTGTAAGTTGGGTTCCTAGGTATTTTATTCTCTTTGAAGCAATTGTGAATGGGAGTTCACTCACGATTTGGCTCTCTGTTTGTCTGTTATTGGTGTATAAGAATGCTAATGATTTTTGCACACTGATTTTGTATCCTGAGACTTTGCTGAAGTTGCCTATCAGCTTAAGGAGATTTTGGGCTGAGATGATGGGGTTTTCTAGATATACAATCATGTCATCTGCAAACAGGGACAATTTGACTTCCTCTTTTCCTAATTGAATACCCTTTATTTCCTTCTCCTTCCTGATTGCCCTGGCCAGAATTTCCAACATTGTGTTGAATAGGAGTGGTGAGAGAGGGCATCCCTGTCTTGTGCCTGTTTTCAAAGGGAATGCTTCCAGCTTTTGCCCATTTAGTATGATATTGGCTATGGCTTTGTCAGAGATAGCTCCTATTACTTTGAGATACGTCTCATCAATTCCTAATTTATTGAGAGTTTTTTGCAGGAAGAGTTGTTGAATTTTGTCAAAGGCCTTTTCTGCATCTCTTGATATCTCAAGATAATCACATGGTTTTTTTGTCATTGGTTCTGTTTATAAGGTGGATTACGTTTGTTGATTTGTGTATGTTGAACCAGCCTTGCATCCCAGAGATGAAGCCCACTTGATCATGGTGGATAAGCTTTTTGATATGCTGCTGGATTCGGTTTGCCAGTATTTTATTGAGGATTTTTGCATAGATCTTCATCGGAGATATTGGTCTAAAATTCTCTTTTTTTGTTGTGTCTCTGCCAGGCTTTGGTATCAGGATGATGCTGTCCTCATAAAATGAGTTAGGGAGGTTCCCTCTTTTTCTATTGATTGGAATAGTTTCAGAAGGAATGGTACCAGCTCCTCCTTGTACCTCTGGTAGATTTTGGCTGTGAATCCATCTGGTCCTGGACTTTTTCTGGTTGGAAAGCTAATTATTAATTATTGCCTCAATTTCAGAGCCTGTTATTGGTCTATTCAGAGATTCAAATTCTTCCTGGTTTAGTCTTGGGTGGGTGTATGTGTCAAGGAATTTATCCATTTCTTCTAGATTTTCTAGTTTATTTGCATAGAGGTGTTTATAGTATTCTCTGATGGTAGTTTGTATTTCTGTGGGATCGGTGGTGATATCCCCTTGGGTTTAATAAACAGATAACATCAAACATTCAACTAATCCAATAAAAAGAAATTTTATTCATTTGAGAATGTGTTTTCCAGAGCATACTTATATATTACGTTTTAACTTCATAATTTATATTTTATAAAAACATAACTAATTCAAGTTAATCTTCTCTAATTTTTAATTCAATTGAATTTTTATCAGGATCACTATATTTAAACAAAAATTACCTGAATTTTTCACATCATAATTTATAGATTCTGCTTCTACAAATTGTCTGTAGGGACCATTATTTCTACACGGTCTACTTTCCTGGGTTAAGTGGTGGATACCCAAATGTTTTTTGGAATAATGTTTTCTTATATCAGTTTTTAGTCAGTGATACGTTGCACCATGTTTAATTTTAAGCATTATCAGTTTTCTTTTTTTTTTTTAATTGATCATTCTTGGGTGTTTCTCGCAGAGGGGGATTTGGCAGGGTCACAGGACAATAGTGGAGGGAAGGTCAGCAGATAAACAAGTGAACAAAGGTCTCTGGTTTTCCTAGGCAGAGGACCCTGTGGCCTTCCGCAGTGTTTGTGTCCCTGGGTACTTGAGATTAGGGAGTGGTGATGACTCTTAAGGAGCATGCTGCCTTCAAGCATCTGTTTAACAAAGCACATCTTGCACCGCCCTTAATCCATTCAACCCTGAGTGGATACAGCCCATGTTTCAGAGAGCACAGGGTTGGGGGTAAGGTCACAGATCAACAGGATCCCAAGGCAGAAGAATTTTTCTTAGTACAGAACAAAATGAAAAGTCTCCCATGTCTACCTCTTTCTACACAGACACGGCAACCATCCGATTTCTCAATCTTTTCCCCACCTTTCCCCCCTTTCTATTCCACAAAACCGCCATTGTCATCATGGCCCATTCTCAATGAGCTGTTGGGTACACCTCCCAGACGGGGTGGTGGCAGGGCAGAGGGGCTCCTCACTTCCCAGTAGGGGCGGCTGGGCAGAGGCGCCCTTCACCTCCCGGACGGGGCGGCTGGCCAGGCGGGGGGCTGAGCCCCCACCTCCCTCCTGGACAGGGCGGCTGGCCGGGCGAGGGGCTGACCCCCTCACCTCCCTCCCGGACGGGGCGGCTGGCCGGGCGGGGGGCTGACCCCCCACCTCCCTCCCGGACGGGGCGGCTGACCGGGCGGGGGACTGACCCCCCCACTTCCCTCCCGGATGGGGTGGCTGGCCGGGCAGAGGGGCTCCTCAGTTCCCAGTAGGGGCGGCCGGGCAGAGGCGCCCCTCACCTCCCGGACGGGGCGGCTGGCCGGGCGGGGGGCTGACCCGCCCACCTCCCTCCCCCCCAGAAGGGGTGGCTGGTCGGGCGGGGGGCTGATCCCCCACCTCCCTCCCAGACGGGGCGGCTGGCCGGGCAGAGGGGCTCCTCACTTCCCATCAGGGGCTGCCGGGCAGAGGCGCCCCTCACTTCCCGGATGGGGCGGCTGGCCAGGCGGGGGGCTAACCCACCCACCTCCCTCCCGGAGGAGGCGGCTGGCCGGGCGGGCGGCTGACCCCCCACCTCCCTCCCGCATGGGGTGGCTGGCCAGGCGGGTGGCTGACCCCCCCACCTCACTCCCGAACGAGGTGGCTACCAGGCGGAGATGTTCCTCACTTCCGAGACGGGGTGACTGCCGGGCGGAGGGGCTCCTCACTTCTCAGACGGGGTGTTTGCCAGGCAGAGGGTCTCCTCACTTCTCAGACGGGGCGGCCGGGCAGAGACATTCCTCACATCCCGGACGGGGCGGCAGGACAGAGGTGCTCCCCACATCTCAGATGATGGGCGGCCGGGCAGAGACGCTCTTCACTTCCCAGATGTGATGGCGGCCGGGAAGAGGCGCTCCTCACTTCCTAGATGGGATGGCGGCCGGGCAGAGACGCTCCTCACTTTCCAGACTGGGCAGCCAGGCAGAGGGGCTCCTCACATCCCAGACGATGGGCGGCCAGGTGGAGACGCTCCTCACTTCCCAGACGGGGTGGCGGCCGGGCAGAGGCTGCAATCTCGGCACTTTGGGAGGCCAAGGCAGGCTGCTGGGAGGTGGAGGTTGTAGCGAGCCGAGATCACGCCACTGCACTCCAGCCTGGACACCATTGAGCACTGAGTGAACGAGTCTCCGTCTGCAATCCCGGCACCTCGGGAGGCCGAGGCTGGCGGATCACTCGCGGTTAGGAGCTCAGCCCGGCCAACACAGCGAAACCCCGTCTCCACCAAAAAAATACGAAAACCAGTCAGGCGTGGCGGCGCGCGCCTGCAATCGCAGGCACTCGGCAGGCTGAGGCAGGAGAATCAGGCAGGGAGGTTGCAATGAGCCGAGATGGCAGCAGTACCATCCAGCTTCGGCTCGGCATCAGAGGGAGACCGTGGAAAGAGAGGGAGAGAGAGACCGTGGGGAGACGGAGAGGGTGAGGGAGAGGGAGAGGGAGAGGGAGAGCTATCAGTTTTCTTTCTTGTGCATTATTTTCACAGTAATATAAATTATGGACATCAAAATATCCTCAGGGTTAAAAATGTTGGAGTCCAAGCATTCTATATTCTTGATTTGTATGGTTTCAATTATGACTCAGCATTTTAGGAAAACATTGGCTCTATAATCTGTCACCCTCACCCCATTTAAATAAAAACATACTTTTTTGGACACAAGGATCAGGCATACACATCTACACAGTGGATCACATCATTTTTGGGGGCAAACTGAAAACTGTTTTTATACTCAAACATACTGTTGGGAAACTGTGAAATAAAAATTTCTGATGTTTGTTAAAAATTGGGAAGAAAGACATTAATACTATTGTAGTAGATTTTATGGCCATCGTAATAGGGTTCAGTTCAGAAATTGATCATAACTCTGAACACAGACAACGAAGAATTTATAGTCAATAAGCAGAATAAATCAGTGGATAAGAATTATTGAAAAACATTTGATAAAATACCAAAGGAGGAAGAGGAACTTTTTATAGCAGAAGCCTGGTTACAGGTTGGCTAAGGACTTAAATATCAAAGAAAGGGAATCACGATATTAGTAGACATAAGGGATATGTGGATTTTTACTAAACAGTATTAGCAGGATTTATGAAAGTGAGCCTCTCAAACCAGGAGCAGGGCAAGAAGTCAAGGTTGGCTTAGTCAAAAAGAGGGTTCAGTTAAGCTTGACTAACATTTGGTCATAAAGGGAGTGCTTACAAGAACCCAGATTTTTTTCCCATCTGATCTGAAAATAAATAATCACCAAAAAAGGCTTTGTTTGAAAAATGAGTGCCCACTTCACCTGAGAAAACCTCCATCTTCCTCTGTTTACGTTTGAATTTAGTGTAGAAAAAGAGCACTTGTCATTGCCACAGTTTTAATTTTGCTTTCACTCAAAAACAGAGAGTCAGGGCTGGGTGTGGTGGTTCATGCCTGTAATCCCAGCATTTTGGGCATGGTGATGCAAGCACACCTGTAATCCCAGCTACTTGAAAGGCTGAGGCAGGAGAATCACTTGAACCCAAGAGTCAGAGGTTGCAGTGAGCCAAAATCACACCACTGCACTCCAGCCTGGTGACAGAGTGAGACTCCATCAAACAAAACAAAACAAAACAAAACAAAACAAAACACAAAATTAGAAATTTAGTTTTATTCAAACAGCAACTTACAAACACAAAGGTTATAGTTTCTGACCCCTATTCAAGACAATTGGTTGTAACCATAAGTATTGATGGGACTTCAGGGAGATTCCTCAGATGGAGCTGATGCAGCTGTGCAAGCCACTTTGACCTTGCATCTTTCCTACTTCTTAGCCTTTGAAATGGACATGGTTGCTGGTGCAGGCTTGTGCTCCTACAGCCAGCCATATGGGACCATGAGACAGCCTACAGGATAAAAACCATCTACTGAAATATTGTAGCAAAGTGTGCCAAGAGGGCTGACTAGAAGTAGCTATGGTGTGTGGCTTTCATGAAAAGAAACAAAGAGGGAAAATAAATACAGCACCATCAACTGAAACACCCAGATATTTGCAGTGGGACTAATGAAGGAAACAGCTCAACCCATGGGAAAAAGAAGGGCATGGCAAACGCCCACCCGGGAGTAACACAGACCAAAGGGAACCTACCCTGCCCAAGGAAGTGGTGAGCAAATACGTGACCCTGAGAAACCACACTTCTCCCATGGATCTTTGCAACTCTCGGGTCAGGAGATTTTCTCGTAAACTTATTCCACCAGGGCCTTTGGTCTGATACACAGAGCTGCGTGTTCCCGGCAGAACAACTGCTCAGACACAAACAGAATCGCAGGAGCTTTACATACTTTGGCTCTGAGATCTCTGGCAAAGGTGACTGCAACTCAGACAAGGTGGGAGGTTGGATCTCCGTAAATGCCCCTAGAAAGGAAGCTGAATCCATGGGCCTGAGCAGCATCAGTGGGCCCCACTTCCATGACGCCTCACAGGATAAGACCTACTGGCTTGGAATTCCATCCAGCCCCCAGCAACAGCATTGCAATTACCTGGGATGGAACAACGTTCCTGGAGGCAGGGGCTGGCTGCTATATTTGCTGTTTGGATGACTCAGCCATTCCAGCCTGGAGGTTTAGGAGAGTTAAAAAAAAAAAAAACTCATGGCAGATGGAAGAAATCCCTTAGCACGGCACATTGGCCCTCCCAAAGTTTGGCCGGACTACTTCTTGAAGTGGGACCCAGATACCTTTTTTATCTCAGAGTGGGGCCTCCTACCAGAGCCTCCAGACAGCCCCTTCCATATTCTCCGGCAGGCAGAGTTTTGATTTATTCCTGGATGCAGTGCACATTGGGAGCAGTGGGTCTTCATATTTGTTGTTTGGAGAACTCAGCCATAACAATCAGTGGGCTTAGGAGAGTCCAAACCATCCCAGGGAAGAAGGAATCACCCAGCATAGCACAGTGGATCTGCCATAATGTGATCAGATTGCTTCTTTAAGTGGGACCTAATATGCTCTGCATCTCTGGGTGGAACTTCCCAACCAGGGCCTCCAGCAACTCCCACTGATGTTGTCTGGCTGGCAGAGGTTTAAAAACTTCCTGGGCCAGAGTTCCTAGAGAGAGGGGTTGGCCACCATCTTTGCTGTTTCAGCCACTTTGCTGTTTCAGCCTCCAGGCTTTGGAGAGCCCAATCTGCTGAAGGGCAGAAATGGTACCCCGCACAGCATGGCTGATCTATGAAAGTGGGGCTAGATGGCTTAAGTGGGTCCCCAATCCTATTCCTCCTAGCTGGGTGAGACCTACCAACTGGGGTTTCCAGTCACCTCCTACAGGTGTGTTCGAGCCCTCAACATGTCTGCACCCGCCCTGGGATGGAGCTCCCAGGGAAGGGAGTGGGCTGCTATCTTTCTTGTTTCACAGCCTTCACTGGTGATACCCCCAGATACTGGAAAATCCGAGGTGACAAGAGAGTGGAGCAGATGCCCAACAAACTACAGCAGCCCCACACAAAATGGCCAAACAGTTAAAAGGAAGAGAAACAAACAAAAATCTCATTCAAAGGCCAGCAACCTCAAAGATTAAAGATAGATAGGCACACAAAGGTGAGAATCACAACAAGAATACTAAAAACTCAAAAATCAGGGTGCTCTCCCTCTCCCAAATGACCACACTACTTCTCCAGCAAGAGTTCAGAATAAGGGTGAGGCTGTGATCCCTGAAATAACAGAAGTAGACCCCAGAATGTGGATAAAAATGAACTTCACTGATCTAAAGGAGCATGCTCTAACTCAATACAAGAAAGCTAAAAATTACAATATAATATTGCAGGAGCTGACAAACAAATTAGCCAGGATAGAGAGGAGCCTAACCAACCCGATAGCACTGTAAAACACAATACAAAAATTTCATAATGCAATCACAAGTATTAATGAGGAAAGAAACTCAGAGCTTGAAGTTTGTATTTCTGAAAGAAGACATGCAGAGAAGAATAGAAAAAAAGAATGAAAGGAATAAACAAAACCTTTGAGAAATATGGGATTATGTAAAGAGACCAAATCTACAACTGATTGGTGTACTTGAAAGAGCTGGGGAGAATGGAACCAATCAGGAAAACATATTTCAGGATATCATCAATGAGAACTTCCCCAACCTTGCTACACTGGCCAACAATTCAGAAAATGGAGAGAAGTTCAGTAAGATACTCCAAGAAAAAATCATACCCAAGACACATAAACGTCAGATTCCCCAAACTTGAAATGGAAGAAAAAAAAAGAAAAAAAAGCTCAGCCGCAGAGAAAAGCCAAGTCACCTACAAAAAGAAGTTGATCAGACTAAGAGCAGAGCTGTCAGTGAGAACCCTACAAGCCAAAAGAGATTGGGGGCCAATATTTAACGTTCTTAAAGAAAATAAACTTTAAGCCAGAATTTTATATCTGGCCAAACTAAGCTTAATCTGGGGAGAAATAACATCCCTTTCAGACAAGCAAATTCCGAGTTAATTCATGAACACCAGACATGCTTTTCAAGAGCTCCTGAAGGAAGCACCAATTTGGAAAGGGAAAATTATTCCCAGCCACCACAAAAACACACTCAAGTACACAGACCATTGACACTATAAATCAACCACATAAACAAGTCTGAAAAATAAAAATAACCAGCTAGCATCAAGATAACAAGATAAAATCTACGCATAACAATACTTACCTTAAATGTAAATGGGATAAATGCCCCAGTTGAAACACACAGGGTGGCAATTGTATAAAAACCAAGACCCATTGGTATGCTCTTCAAGACACCCATCTCACATGCGGGGACACACATAGGCTAAAAATAAAGGGATGGAGGAAATTTCACCAAGCAAGTGGAAAACCTAAAAAAGCAAGGGTTGCAGTCTTACTTTCCAACAAAACAGACTTTAAAGCAACACAGATTAAAAACAACAACAACAACAACAACAAAGAGGGTCATTACATAACGGCAAATAATTCAATTCAACAAGAATTAACTATTCTAAATATATATGCACCCAACACAAGAGTACCCAGATTCATATAACAAGTTTCTAGATATCTTGAAAGAGACTTAGAACACCACACAATAATAGTGACCGACTTTAACATCCCACTGACAGTATTAGAAAGATTATTGAGACAGAAAATTAACAAAGATGTTCAGGACCTGAACTTAGCTCTGGATCAAATGGACATGATATATATTTACAGAACTCTCCACATGAAAACAGCAGAATATACATTCTTCTCATCACTACATGACACTTTCTCTGAAATTGGTCACTTAGCCAGAAGTAAAACACTCTTCAGCAAATGCAAAAGAACTGAAATCATAATAAACAGTGGCTCAGATCACAGCACAATCAAATTAAAACTCACGATGAAATAATTTACTGAAAACCATAAAATTAAATGGAAATTGAATCACCTGCTCCTGAATAACTTTTGGGTAAATAATGAAATTAAGGCAGATATCAAGGAGTTCTTTGAAACCAATGAGAACAAAGACAAAACATACCAGAATCTCTGGGACACAGCTAAGGCAGTATTAAGATGAAAATTTATGGCATTAAATGCCCACATTAAAATGCCAGAAATGTCTCAAGTTACAACTTCACAACAAAAATAACTACAGGAACAAGAGCAAAGAAGTTCTAGAGCTAGCAGAAGACAAGAAATAACCAAAATCAGACCTGAACTGATGGAGATAGGGACAAGAGAAACCATTCAACAGATCAACAAATTCAGGAGCTGTTTCTTTTTCTTTGAAAAAACCAATAATATAAATACACCAGTAGTAGACTAATAAGGAAGAAAATATCAAAAATTAAAATGAACACAATCAGAAATAATAAGGGTTACCACTGACCCCACAGAAATAAAAATAACCATCAGAAAATATCATAAACACCTCTATGCCTATAAGATAACAAATTCAGTAGAAATGGATAAATTTCTGGACACATACACCCTTCAAGAATAAACCAGGAAGAAATTGAATCCCTGAAAAGACAAACAACAGGCTCTGAAATTCAGGCAGTAATAAATAGCCTACAAACCACAAAAAGATCAGAAACACAAAGATTAAAAGCTGAAGGTTATGACATTTATGAAGAAGAACTGGTACAATTCCCACTAAAATTATTTCAAAAAACTGAAACAGAGGGCTTCCTTCCCGACTCTTTCTATGAGAGCACATCATCCTGGTACCAAAACCTGGCAGACACACAAGAAAAAAAACAAAACTTCAAAAAATTTGCAAGAAGAAAACAACCCCATCAAAAAGTGGGCGAAGGACATGAACAGACGCTTCTCAAAAGAAGACATTTATGCACCCAAAAAACACATGAAAAAATGCTCACCATCACTGGCCATCAGAGAAATGCAAATCAAAACCACAATGAGATACCATCTCACACCAGTTAGAATGGCAATCATTAAAAAGTCAGGAAACAACAGGTGCTGGAGGAGATGTGGAGAAATAGGAACACTTTTACACTGTTGGTGGGACTGTAAACTAGTTCAACCATTGTGGAAGTCAGTGTGGCAATTCGTCAGGGATCTAGAACTAGAAATACCATTTGACCCAGCCATCCCATTTCTGGGTATATACACAAAGGACTATAAATCATGCTGCTTTAAAGACACAGGCACACGTTTGTTTATTGCGGCACTATTCACAATAGCAAAGACTTGGAACCAACCCAAATGTCCAACAATGATAGACTGGATTAAGAAAATGTGGCACATATACACCATGGAATACTATGCAGCCATAAAAAATGATGAGTTCATGTCCTTTGTAGGGACACGGATTAAATTGGAAATCATCATTCTCAGTAAACTATCACAAGAACAAAAAAACCAAACACCGCATGTTCTCACTCATAGGTGGGAATTGAACAATGAGATCACATGGACACAGGAAGGGGAACATCACACTCTGGGGACTGTTGTGATGAGGGGGGAGGGGAGAAGGATAGCATTGGGAGATATACCTAATGCTAAATGTCGAGTTAATGGGTGCAGCACACAAGCATGGTGCATGCGTACATATGTAACTAACCTGCACATTGTGCACATGTACCCTAAAACTTAAAGTATAATAATAATAAAATAAAAAAAGAAAAAAAAAAACTTCATGCCAATATTTTTGATGAACATTTATGCAAACATTCTTAACAAAATAGGGGCAAACCAAATCCAGCAGCGCATCAGAAAGCTTATCCACCACAATCAAGTAGGCTCCATCTGTGGGATGCAACTTTAATTCAACGTACACAAATCAATATGTGATTTATCACATAAACAGAACTAAAGACAAAAGCCACATGATTGTCTGAATAGATGCAGATAAATCTTTGCATCCATAAAATTCAACATCCATTCTTGTAAAAACTCTCAATAAACTAGGTATTGAAAAAAACATACTTCAATATAATAAGAACCATGTATGACAAACCCACAGCCAATATCATACTGAAAGGGCAAAAGCTGAAAGCATTCCCTTTTAAAACGGGCACAAGACAAGGATGCCCTCTCTCATGAATCCTATTTCAGATAGTATTGGAAGTACTGGGCAGAGCAATCAGGTAAGAGAAAAAGGCATTCAAATTGAAAGAAAAGAAATTAAACAACACCTGATGTCAGACGACATGATTCTATATCTTGAAAACCCCTATTGTCTCAACCCCAAAGCTTCTTAAGCTGATAAATATCTTTAACAAAGTCCCAAGATACAAAATAAATGGGCAAAAATCACTAGCACTAAATCCTTATATACCAACAACAGTCAAGCCAAGAGCAAAATCGTGAATGAACACTCATTCACAGTTACCACAAAAAGAATAAAATACCAAGGAATGTATCTAACAAGAGAAGTGAAAGGCCACTACAAGGAGAACTATAAACCACTTCTCAAAGAAATCAGACATGACATAAACAAATAGAAAAACATTTCATGCTTATGGATAGAAAGAGTTAATATTGTTAAAGTAGACACACTCCACAAAGAAATTTATAGAGTTAATAGTATTTCCGTTAAACTACCAATGACATTTTTCACAAAACTAGAAAAGCTATTTTAAAATTTATATGGAACCAACAAAGGCCTGAATAGTCAAGACAACCCCAAACAAAAAGAACTAAGCTGGAGGCATCACACTACCCAACTTCAAACTGTGCTACAGGGCTACAGAAACCAAAACAGCATGGTACTGGTACAAGAACAGACACACAGACCAATGAAACAGAATAGAGGACCCAGAAATAAGACTGCACACCTACAACTAACTGATCTTCGACAATCCTGACAAAAACAAGCAATGAAAAAACGACTCTGTACTCAATAAATGGTGCTGGGATAACTGCCTAGCCATGTGCAAAAAATTGAAACTGAACCCCTTCCTCCATCATCCTCTGCAACTAACACAGGAACAGAAAACTAACCACCGCATATTCTCACTCATAAGTGGGAGTTGAACAATAAGAACACATGGACACTGGAAGGGAAACAACACAACTGGGGCTAGTCAGGGAATGGGAGTCGAAGGGAGGGAGAGCATTAGGATAACTAGCTAATACATGTGGGACTTGAAGCCTGGATAACGGGCTGATAGGTGCAGTAAACCACCATGGCACACATATACCAATGTAACAAACCTACACATTCTGCACTTGTACTTCAGAACCCAATTTAAATTTAAAAAATAAAGAAAGATTCCTTACATCATATACAACAATAAACTCAACATGGTTTAAATGTAAAACCCAAGACTATAAAAACTTTGGAAGACAACCTAGGCAATACCATTCAGGACATAGGCATGGGCAAATATTTTATGATGAAGGCGCAAAAGCAATTAGAACAAAGAGAACATTGACAAATGGGATCTAATTAAACTAAAGAGCTTTTGCACAGCAAAAGAAACTATCAACAGAGTAAACAGACAATGTATAGAATGGGAGAAAATTTTTGCAAACTGTGCATCTGACAATAATCTAATTTCTAGCATCCATAAGGAACATAAATTTACACGAGAAAAACAAACAACCTTATTAAAAATTGGCCAAAGGACACACAGAAACACTTCTTGAAAGAAGACATACATGCAGCCAATAAGCGTATGAAACAGAAGTTCAACATCAGTGACCATTAGAGAAATGTAAATCCAAACCACAATGAGATATCATTTTATACCAGGTATAATGGTTACCATGAAAAAATCAAAAAATCACAGATGCTGACAAAGTTGTGGAGAAAAAGCAACATTTTTACCCTGTTGGTCGAGTTCAAACGTTGTGGAAGACAGTGTGGTGATTCTTCAAAGACCTAAAGAAAAGAATACCATTTGACCTAGCAATCTCATTACTGGGTATATACCCAAACAAATATAAGTCATTCTATTATAAAGATACCTGCACGCACAAGTTCATCACAGCCCTATTCACAATAGCAAAGACATCAAATCAGCCTACATGTTCATCAATAATAGACTGGTTGAAGAAAACGTAGTTCATATACAACATGGAGTACTATGCAGCCATAAAAAAGCACAAGATTATGTCCTTTGTAGGGACATGGATGGAGCTGGAGGCCATTATCCTTAAAAAACTAACAGAAACAGAAAACCAAATACCACATTTTCTCACTTATAAGTGGAGGGTAGATGATGAGAACACACAGAAACATGGAGGGGAGCAACACGCACCAGGGCCTATCAGGAGGTAGGGGGTGAGAGGAGGGAGAGAATCAGAAAAAATAACTAATAGTTAGTAGACTTAATACCTGGGTGATAAAACAATCTGCACAACCAAACTTCGGGACGGTATGTTTCCATATTTAAAGAACCTGCACATCCTGCCCATATACCCCTGAACTTAAAACAAAGTTCAAAAAAGAAAAACATTTTAGCAAAATGACAGACTATTTTTGACTACCTTCGTGTACAGTTCAGAGTCAGACTGCCCAGCTCTAACATCCTTATTTATGAGAAAGAAAGCATTCTCTCTCTTATCTGCACTATTATATTGGGTTTTCTTTTTTAATTTTTTTGAGACGGAGTTTCACTCTTATTGCCCAGACTGGAGTGCAATGGCGCGATCTCGGTTCACCACAATCTCTACCTCCCGGGTTCAAGCGATTCTCCTGCCTCAGCCTCTCAAGAAGCAGGGATTACAGGCATGCACCACTACGCCTGGAAAATTTTGTATTTTTGGTAGAGACTGGGTTTCTCTATGTTGGTCAGGCTGGTCTTAAACTCCAGACCTCTGGTGATCCGTCTGCCTCAACCTCCCAATGTGTTGGGATAACAGGCGTGAACTACAGCACCCGGTCTGGGTTTTCTTCTATATGTAGGAAAATGTAATCCTAACTAAAGTGCTAGCTTTGCCATGGAATCTCTGTGTAATTCTGGATGTTATGTCACTTTCCTAAGACTTTTTTCTATCTGCATAGTGGTGGAGGCAGTAGTGGGGAAGATTTAATTATACAAAGGGTCCATCAATCCATGTGTTAAGTGAGGATGTCACTACTTTCCAGACTCAGAGGACAGGGGACATATTGTTATGCTCCATGGAAGCTGTTTGGGGGTGGAGGTGGGGCTCACTTGCACACATTGTCTGTGGGCCTTGAAAGATCAAGTGTGTATGACCCTTCTTGAACAGAAGGTCCATGTGCCCAGTGCAGAACCCATCTATTTCTTCCCAAGTGAGGAAGATCTGGGAACACCCTGATCACAGCCTTGCTACACCAATCCTAGTTGGTAGGGACGTTAGACCATATGCATGTTGAGCTGTGGCTTAAGCATTTTGACATCTCACATCTCATTGGATATCTGAAAAACTGAGGTCTGGAGAGAAGCAGGGACTGGCCCAGAGATGATGAAGTGGGCAGAGTCCAAGGGAAAAAAGAGCATTCTGACCTCCTAGGCCAGGGCTCAACACTCTCATGGGGTTTGTTTTGGGAATGAGTCCCTGAGATCCTGGGGATTTTTGCCAATTTTCTCGTCATATGAAGCAAACTCATGTCTGCATCATAGAATTCCACAGGTTTGTGCATACACACACAGACTTCTCAGGCTAAAGGTCATAAGAGGAGTTAACGCTGATGGAGTGATGAGAAGAAAAAAGATAGAGGATAGGGGCAGCTTTGTCATGGGGTAGAAGCACCCCATCTTCTGGTAACATGCCCAGGACCCATAACATGGGCAGGGGAAGGCAATAGGCTGATGGCTTGAGAGGCTCAAGGCTTCCATGGATCTGACTGGGCTGCAGCCAACACCAGGATAGCTTTCCAAGGACAAAACCTTACTTTCTCCATTCATTAATCTGCATAATTAAAATGGTAAGGAATCCCCCTACACCCAATATGGAGAGGAATACAGTAGTGAAAACCTTCAATTTTTCCCTGTACAAATTGACATAATTGAACTGTGTGACCCCTAAATTTGAAAGGCTTAAAGAAGTGAGTTGACCTTGCTGTCTATCAATTACCACTGTACTCTCAGAACTTTGGAAATTGCTCTGTGTCCTCCGAAGGTCTTTCAGAGCAGAAAGTGGCCTAGGGGTGTGCGGGACTGAGCACTCAGGCTGGTGTAGAATGTGACAGATCCTCAGACCACTGCTCTGGGATCCAAGGAGAAGACCTTCTCGGTCAGAGCTTTGGGGATCTTTTTTTTGGAGGGGGCGATCTTTTTTGAAAGTGGAGACAGAATCGTTTTCCAGGGCTCCCTCATTTGCCCTCCTGTTTCATAGTATTTCTTTTTTCTGTCTGTCTTTCTTTCTTTCTTTCTTTCTTTCTTTCTTTCTTTCTTCTTTCTTTCTTTCTTCTTTCTTTTTCTTTCTTTCTTCTTTCTTTCTTTCCTTCTTTTTCTTTCTCTTTCTTTCTTTCTCCTTCGTTTCTTTTCTTTCTTCCTTTCTTTCTTCTTTCTCTTTCTTTTGTTCTTCCTTCATTCCTTCCTTCCGTTTCTTTCTTTCTTCTTTCTTTCTTTCCTCTTCCTTCATTCCTTCCTTCCTTTTCTTTCTTTCTTTCTTTCTTTCTCTTTCTTTCTCCTTCCTTCCTCCCTCCCTTTCTTTTCTTTCTTTCCTTATTTTCTTTTTTCTTTCTTCTTTCTTTCTTTCTTCTTTCTTTCTTTCTTTCTTTCTTTCTTTCTTTCTTTCTTTATCAGAGTCTCTCTCTTCTCGCTCTTTCACGGGACTGGAGTGGAGTGGCATGATCTCGGCTCACTGCAACCTCCACCTCCCGGGTTCAAGTGATTCACTGCAACCTCCACCTCCCAGGTTCAAGTGATTCTCCTGCCTCAGCCTCCTGAGTAGCTGGGAATATAAGGGCGTGCCACCAAGCCTGGCTAATTTTTGTATTATTAGTAGAGACGGGGTTTCGCCATGTTGTCCAGGATGGTCTCGATCTCTTCACCTCGTGATCTGCTTGTATCAGCCTCTGAAAAAAACTGAGATTATAGGTGTGAGCCACCACACAAAGCCTACAGTTTATTTTTCTTTGCTTGTTAAAATGTTTTAGTCAGCTAAAATTTACACAATATAGAGTTCTACATACTATCTAATATAAAGTGTAAAATTCAGTGCTTTTCAGTTTATTTACAATGCTATGCAACTGTCACCCTTATCAAATTCCAAAATAGTTTCATCACCCTCTCACCAAAAAAACTCCATATCCATTAAGCAGTAATTTATCATTCATCCACCGAATTTCCTTGGTAACCACTGATTGACTTTCTATCTCTAGTACTCTCTTTCTTTCTTTCCTTTTTTTTTTTTTTTTTTGGTGTCTCACTCTGTCACCCATGCTAGAGTGCAGTGGCACGATCTCGGCTCGCTGCAAGCTCCACCTCCCTGGTTCACGCCATTCTCCTGCCTCAGCCTCCAGGGTAGCTGGGACTACAGATGCCTGTCAGCACGCCCAGCTATTTTTCTTTGTATTTTTAGTAGAGACAGGGTTTCACCATGTTAGCCAGCATGGTCTCGATCTCCTGACGTCGTGATCTGCCTGCTTCGGCCACCCAAAGTGCTGGGATTACAGGCGTGAGCCATCACACCCGGCTTCTATTTCTAGTTTTCTATTCTAGTCACTTTATAGAAATATAATAATATAATATGTGACCTTTTTTCTTTGGCTTTTCTCTTTGAGCGTGTTTTCATTATTTATCCATGTTGTGGCACATATCAGTTCTGTATTTATTTTTATGGCTAGCTAATACTCCATTGTATAAATAATATTCTATTGGCCAGGGACGATGGCTCACACCTATAAACTCAGTATTTTGGGAGGCTGAGGCTGGTGGATCACCTGAGGTCAGGAGTTCTAGACCAGCCTGGCTGACATGGTGAAACACTGTGTCTACTAAAAATACAAAAATTAGCCGGGCGTGGTTCCTGAAAGCCCAATTGCTCAGGAGGCTGAGGCCAGGGAATCTCTTGAACCCAGGAGGTGGAGGTTACAGTGAGCTGAGATCGTGCCACTGCACTCCAGCATGGGTGACAGAGCAAGACTGTCTCAAAAAAAAAGAAAGAAAATGAGAGGAAATATGTGCAAACTACACAGCTGACAAGCGATTGATAAGCAGAATACAGAATAAACAAAAAACTAAATAAAAAATTAGTTTAACTTTAAAATGGGCAATAATCTTCAGAAACATTTCTGGAAAATATAAGGGGCATAAACATAGAACCTAAAAGTTAGAGAAGAATTATGAAAAAACTGAAGGATATAGAAAAAATAATTTCAGACTATTCACATTAAAATTTAATTAGAGAGGGGGTGGAGCCAAGATGGGCGAATAGGAAAAGCCTTAGTCTAGAACTCCCAGCATCGGCAATGCAGAACACAGGTGATTTCTGCATTTCCAACTGAGGTACCGGGCTCATCTCACTGGGGAGTGTCAGAAAGTGGGTGCAGGACAGTGGGTGCAGCGCACCCCATGTGAGCCAAAGCATGGTGAGGCATCGCCTCACCCAGGAAGTGCAAGGGGTCAGGGAATACCCTTTCCTAGTCAAAGAAAGGGGTGACAGATTGCACCTGGAAAATCGGGTGACTCCCACCCTAACACTGTACTGTTCCAAAGGTCTTAGCAAACGGCATACCAGGAGATTATATCCTGCACCTGGCTCAGAGGGTCCTACGCCCACAGAGCCACAATCATTGCTAGCACAGCAGTCTGAGATCAAACTGCAAGGCAACAACAAGCCTGGGGGAGGGGCGCCCACCATTGCCGTGGCTTGAGTAGGTAAACAAAGCAGCCAGGAAGCTCCAACTGGGTGGAGCCAACTGCATCTCAAGGAGGCCTGCCTGACTCTGTAGACTCCACCTCTGGGGGCAGGGAATAGCCAAACAAATGGCAGCAGAATCCTCTGCAGACTTAAATGTCCCTGTCTGACAGCTTTGAAGAGAGTAGTGGTTATCCCAGCATGCAGCTGGAGATCTGAGAACAGACAGACTGCCTCCTCAAGTGGGTCCCTGACCCCCGAGTAGCCTATCTGGGAAGCATCCCCAGTAGGGGCAGACTGACACCTCACACGGCCGGGTACTCCTCTGAGACAAAATTTCCAGAGGAACAATCAGGCAGCAATATTTGCTTTTCACCAATATCCGCTGTTCTGCAGCCTCCACTGCTGATACCCAGGCAAACAGGGTCTGGAGTGGACCTCCAGCAAACTCCAACAGACCTGCAGCTGAGGGTTCTGACTGTTAGAAGGAAAACTAACAAACAGAAAGTACATCCACAACAAAATCCCATCTGTACATCACAATCATCAAAGACCAAAGGAGAGAAAACTACAAAGATGGGGAAAAAACAGAGCAGAAAAACGGAAAATTCTAAAAATCAGAGTATCTCTCCACCTCCAAAGGAACACAGCTCCTCACCAGCAATGGAACAAAGCTGGACAGAGAATGACTTTGACGAATTGAGAGAAGAAGGCTTCAGACGATCAAACTACTCCGAGCTAAAGGAGGAAGTTCAAACCCATGGCAAAGAAGTGAAAAACCTTTAAAAAAATTAGATGAATAGCTAACTAGAATAACCAATGCAGAGAAGTTCGTAAAGGACCTGATGGAGCTGAAAACCAATGTACGAGAAGTACGTGATGAATGCACAAGCCTCAGTAGCCAATTCGATGAACTGGAAGAAAGGGTGTCAGTGATGGAAGATCAAATGAATGAAATGAAGTGAGAAAAGAAGTTTAGAGAGAAAAAGATAAAAAGAAATGAACAAAACCTCCAAGAAATATGGGACTGTGTGAAAAGACCAAATCTACATCTGATTGGTGTACCTGAAAGTTATGAGGAGAATGGAAACAAGTTGGAAAACACTCTGAAGGATATTATCCATGAGAACTTCCCCAATCTAGCAAGGGAGGGTGACATTCAAATTCAGGAAATACAGAGAACACCAAAAAGATAATCCTCAAGAAGAGCAACTCCAAGACACATAATTGTCAGATTCACCAAAGTTGAAATGAAGGAAAAAATGTTAAGGGCAGCCAGAGAGAAAGGTCGGGTTACCCACAAAGGGAAGCCCATCAGACTAACAGCTGATCTCTCGGCAGAAACTCTACAAGCCAGAAGAGTGGGGAACAATATTCAACATTCTTAAAGAAAAGAATTTTCAATCCAGAATTTCATATTCATTCAAACTAAGCTTCATAAGTGAAGGAGAAATAAAATCCTTTACATACAAGCAAACGATGAGAGATTTTGTCACCACCAGGCCTGCCCTAAAAGAGCTCCTGAAGGAAGCACTAAACATGGAAAGGAACAACCGGTACCAGCCACTGCAAAAACATGCCAAGTTGTAAAGACCATCGAGGCTAGGAAGAAACTGCATCAACTAACGAGCAAAATAACCAGCTAACATCATAATGACAGGATCAAATGCACACAAAACAATATTAACCTTAAAAGTAAATGGACTAAATTCTCCCATTAAAAGACACAGACTGGCAAATTGGATAAAGAGTCAAGACCCATCAGTGTTCTGTATTCAGGAAACGCATCTCACGTGCAGAGACACACATAGGCTCAAAATAAAGGGATGGAGGAAGATCTACCAAGCAAATGGAAAACAGAAAAAGGCAGGGGTTACAATCCTAGTGTCTGATAAAACAGACTTTAAAACAATAAAGATCAAAAGAGACAAAGAAGTCCATTACGTAATGATAAAGGGATCAATGCAATAAGAAGAGCTAATTATCCTGAATATATATGCACCCAATATAGGAGCACACAGATTCATAAAGCAAGTCCTTAGAGACCTAGAAAGAGACTTAGACTCCCACACAATAGTAATGGGAGATTTTAACACCCCACTGTCAACATTAGACATATCAATGAGACAGATAGTTAACAAGGATATCCAGGAATTGAACTCAGCTCTGCACCAAGCAGACCTAATAGACATCTACAGAACTGTCCACCCCAAATCAACAGAATATACATTCTTCTCAGCACCGCACCGCACTTATTCCAAAATTGACCACATAGTTGGAAGTAAAGCACTCCTCAGCAAATTGTAAAAGAACAGAAATTATAAAAACCTCTCTCTCAGACCACACTGCAATAAAACTAGAACTCAGGATTAAGAAACTCACTCAAAACCGCTCAACTACATGGAAACCAAACAACCTGCTCCCGAATGACTACTGGGTACATAACGAAACGAAGGCAGAAATAAAGATGTTCTTTGAAAGCAACGAGAACAAAGACACAACATACCAGAATCTATGGGACACATTCAAAGCAGCGTGTAGAGGGAAATTTATAGCACTAAAGGCCCACAAGAGAAAGCAGAGAAGATCTAAAATTGACACCCTAACATCACAATTAAAAGAACTAGAGAAGCAAGAGCAAACACATTCAAAAGCTAGCAGAAGGCAAGAAATAACTAAGATCAGAGCAGAATTGAAAGAAATAGAAACATAAAAAACCCTTCAAAAAATCAGTGAATTCAGGAGCTGGTTTTTGAAACGATCAACAAAATTGATAGACTGCTAGCAAGACTAGTAAAGAAGAAAAGAGAGAAGAATCAAATAGACGCAATAAAAACTGATCATTTATGTGGCTCAAGTTCTCTAATATAACATAGTACGGTCAAAATGGAAGGGTAAAAATTGCAAGACCACCTTAACGTTTGTCATCTTAAGTGTACTATAAAAATGCCTTTTAAATTAATTCAGTGAATAGGTTTTTAAGTGCATGTTTTAGATTATGCTGAACTGTCAAATACCAGCACATCCCTAATTTGCAGTAGATTAACAGCACTTTTTAGCACACATCACAGAGTTGTTCGGTGGCCAAATTGAAAAGGCACCTCCTCTCCATGTGGTCATTCAGAAACTCAAAGTTCTTTCATTATTTGTCTTCATCATCCATGAGTCGTGGTTGCCGTTTGTGTTCAGTCCCCTGAAAATAAAGTACTTTAAGAAATGCATGCGAGAAGACTTGATGGACTCATCTTAATGTGACTCACATCCATCTCACTCTACAACCATTAACAATAACTGGTCACGTTTCCACATCTCATGCAAATGAGGCTAAGAAATGTAATTCTGCTGTGTCCCTAATAAATGGGAGAATAGAATTTGTTGAATGACCAGAGTTTTCCGTAACATTGTGTCACTCATATGGATTTACTGTGTTTCTCAAATATTTATTAAACATCTGTCATAGCCAAGCACTGTGATAAGGAGTACAGGGAGGACAGAGAGCTGACTCAGCAGAGTCCTAGTCTGAAAGAAACTCACAATCTAAGAAAATAAGAAAAGTCATGTTAGGTGCTGCTATAAAGGCACATGCACACGTATGTTTATTGTGGCACTACTCACAATGCAAATACTTGGAACCAACCGAAATGTCCAACAATGATAGACTGGATCAAGCAAATGTGGCCCATATACACCATGGAATGCTATGCAGCCATAAAAAATGATGAGTTCATGTCCTTTGTGTGTACATGGATGAAGCTGGAAAAGATAATTCTCAGCAAACTATCACAAGGACAAAAAAAAACAAACACCACATGTTCTCGCTTATAGGTGGGAATTGAACAATGAGAACACTTGGACACAGGAAGGGTAACATTACCCACTGGGGAATGTTGTTGGGGGGGGAGGGGGGAGGGATAGCATTTGGAGATATACCTAATGTAAATGACGAGTTAATGGGTGCAGCTCACCAACATGGCACATGTATACATAAGTAACAAACCTGCACGTTGTGCACATGTACCCTAGAACTTAAAGTATAATAAATATATGTATAACATACGTATATATTATATACATGTTCAAGGGATTCTCCTGCCTCAGCCTCCCAAGTAGCTGGGATTACAAGCGCTGCCATTACTCCCAGCTATTTTTTGTATTTTTAGTAGAGAAGGAGTTTTGCCATGTTGACCAGGACGGTCTGGATCTCCTGACCTCATGATCCACACCCCTTGGCCTCCCAGAGTGCTGGGATTACAGGTGTGAGCCACAGCCCCCGGCCTATATGAGTTTTCAAATAGTTTTTTCTAGCTCCGTAAAAAATTTCATTGGCAGTTTGATGGAAATAGTATTAAATCTGTAAATTTCTTTGTGAAGTATAGCCATTTTAGTGATATTGCATCTTCCTATCCGTGAGCATGGGATGGTTTTCCATTTGTTTGTATCTTCTCTGATTTCTTTGAGCAGTGTTTTGTAAATCTCATTGTAGAGCTCTTTCACCTCCCTGGTGAGCTGCATTTCCAGATATTTTATTATTTTAGTGGCAATTGTGAATGGGATGGCCTTTCTGATTTTGCTGTCAGTGTGGCTATCGTTGGTGTAGAAAAATGTTAGTGATCTTTGCACATTGATTTAGTATCTTGAAACTTTGCTGAAGCTGTTTGTTAACTAAAGAAGCTTTGTAGATGAAACTACAGGGTTTTCTAGATAGAGAATTATGTTATCTGCAAACAGAAATAGTTTGGCTTTCTCTCTTCCTATTTGGATGTTCTTCGGATTTCTTTCTCTAGCCTGATTGCTCTGGTCAGTACTGTCAATACTAAGTTGAATAGAAATGGCAAGAGAGGGCATTCTTGCCTTCTACTGGTTTTAAAAAATAATGTTCCCGGCTTTTGCCCATTCAACACATTGTTGGCTGTGGGTTTCTTATAGACGGCTTTTATTATTTTCTGCGTCTATTGAGATAATCATCTTTTTTTTGTTTTTAGTTCTGTTTATGTAATGTATTACATTTATTGATTTGCACATGATGGACCAACCTTGCGTCCTAAGGAGGAAGCCTACTTGATCATGACGGATTACCTGTTTGATGTGCTGCTGGATTTGCCTCCCAAATATTTTGTTGAGAACTTTTGTATTGATGTTCGTCAAGAATGTTGGCCTGAAGTTTTCTTTCCCTTCTTTCTTTTTTTTTTTTTTTTGACGGTGTCTCCCTCTGTTGCCCAGGCTGGAGTGGATTGCACTGGCGCGATCTCTGCTTAATGCAATCTCTGCCTCCTGAGTTCACGCCATTCTCCTGCTTCAGCCTCCCAAGTAGCTGGGACTACAGGTGTCTGCTACCAAGCCCGGCTAATTTTTTGTGTTTTTGTTGTGTCTCTGCCTGTTTTGGTGTCAAGATCATGCTGTCCTCATAGAATGAGTTGGGGAGAAGACCCTCCTTCTCAATTTTTGGGTATAGTTTCTGTAGGAATTGTACCAGCTCTTCTTTGTACATTTGGTAGAATTTGGCTGTAAGTCCATAAAGTCCAGAGCTTTTTTTTTTGATTGGCAAGCTACTTATTACCTATTTAATATCAGAGTTTTTTACTGGTCTGTTCAGGAAATCATTGTCTTCCTGGCTTAATCTTGAGAGAGTGTGTATATCTAGGAATCTATTTATTTCGTTAAAGTTTTCTAGTTTGTGTGTATAAAGTTGTTCATGTTAGTGCTGTCCCCAGTTAAATAAAAACAACTATTAGAAACCACTAAAGTTTAACACTTGTTTTTATATCTTTAATCAATTTTTATTTAATTTTTCTACTTGGAATGTGATAAAGATTCAACTTTACTGGTTTAAATGTGGACTTGTTTTCCCAGCATTTCTTGTGTAACAAACTGTCTTTACATAATGATTAAGACACACTTTTAAAAAGACAAACAATAATTTATGAAAGGGTTTTTTGGAGTATCTATTTTATTTATTTGATCTCCACAATTGTTCTTATGCCACTATCAAACTGTTATAATTTTAGTAGCTTTTTATGTTTTCAAATTTAAAATTGTGAGCCACCTAATTTTGTCCTTCTTTTCAAGATTATTGTGTACATTCAGAGGATGTTCAAATTCCATATGAAGTTTTAAATGAGCTATTTTCTTTTTGCAGAAGAAAAGTTGGAAAAATGAAAACTTGGGATTACAGTACATCTGTACACTCCTTTGGGCAGTGGTATTGTCATCTTAACTTCATTAAATCTTCCGGTTCAGGAACATGGAATTTGTTGCCAGTTATTTAAGTCCTTTTTAGTTTTTTTCATAAACATTCTGATCCTGTATTTTTTATTGTACAAGATATTTACCTCCTTATTAAATTTATTGCTAAGAATTATATTATTTTAATGTTGTTGCGAACAATTGTTTTCTTAATTTACTGTCAAATTGTTAATTGTATATGGAAATGCAGTTTATGTTTCTGTGTTGTAAAAATAATTATTTCATGTCTCAAATCTAGATTAGCAATTCATTCAGAATAAATATGCTGTATATATTACTAGTCATTTAACTTTTTCCAATAAGCTAACCAATTTCAATATGTCTAAATATGTAAAAATGTTAAATTGTGTTAGATTTTTCACTTACTCTCACCTGTCATTTATCTGTCAGAATTACATTACTGCGCACTAGAACTTTCATTTCTGGGGCCGGGCACGGAGGCTCATGCCTATATTCCTAGCACTTTGTGAGGCCAAGGCAGGCGGACCACCTGAGATCAGGAGTTCGAGACCTGTCTGGCCAATATGGTAAAACCCCGCCTCTACTAAAAATACAAAAATAAGCTGAGCGTGGTCTTGGGAGACTGTATTCCCAGCTACTTTGGAGGCTGACACTGGAGAATCACTTGAACAATCCCACGACACAAAACAACCGAGGTTAGTCTTCATGTCGAAAGTCTTCAATGGATTGTCTTTTATCACAGGATTGCTTAGTGCAACATTTAATGGGAAAGATGCATGCTACTGAGATGTAGTTCTCCACAAATCTCTTAGAGTTTGTTGTTTTGTTGTGGATTACATCACATACCTGTCCTGTTCCACGTTATTTTTCAAAGATTTTTGTACACAAATAACCTGGAAAAAGGGTAGTAGTTTTTCTCTTCAGGTGAATGGCAGATAAATTACTCAATCAATATAATAAAGACAATTTTTCTTTGTGACGCAAAGGTTGGACAGGCTTCCATGTAACCTACTTTAAAAAGATTGAGGTTTCTTAGTCTTGAGTCTGCTCAGCTATGACACAAATCTTCCCCATGTACAATGTCCATATGAGCCTTTTGAAATCCTTCAAAAAACGTAGTATGGACAAGGAGAACTAATACAAATATGAGGCTTTTGCCTCCAGGTAAGCAGTAAATAGTAGGTATTTTTTTTCATACTTCAGTGTCTCATGCCTTCTACCAGCATCGATGAAAATGGAAGGTTAATATGTTGTTTACAAATGCTATAAAATCTTAGATACGTCACAATTATTTAATTTTGGAGATGACTATGGCATGCTGAGATAAACACAACTTTCTGAAAGGGGAAAAGGAACAAATACTTGAAGAGCTTGCAAGGGATATGAGAAGTTCCCCCAGGACCAACAGCAAATTCTCTCGGCCAAGTGGTTAGTTTGGTGAAGCAAGAGATCAAGACTCTGCTGTCTGCTAATGAGACTGATCCTTGAGAGGATTATAACAATGAACCTGAGAGCTTTGCATGTTCACTTTTCTCCTGCTGGAAAATCAAGGAGCTCTTAAAGCTAATGTTGAGGTTTGGATGAGTCCAAAACAGTAGAAGTTCATGTGGTTCAGCTGTGAGCAGCAAAAAGACTGCAAAAAGCCACATTAAGCAGGTTTTGTAAGTCTCTCCTTTACCCACATGAAGGAACCCATTCCCTCTGCACTTCTAATTTTTGTCCTTTGTCTACAGCTAACTTCAGCAACTTTAAATATTAAACTACATACGATTGGAGGTTTGGATGGGGGAACACAAATGTATGTAGTTCCTTTGGATATATGTATCTAATTCACCATTCTGTGGAGTCCCTTAGGGTGCACAGGGAGATATAGGTGTTAGGGTGGCTGGAAATGCTGACAAACCTATCATTCTATTAATCCAGTTGCTTCCAGATAATGGAAAGCATGGTAAGTCCACTGACATCCGTGAAGATGAGCACACTGCTACACTTTGGCTGTGAAGTGAGTTTCTTGGTCTGAGCAATGCTAAGTGGAATATCATAGGGATGGATGAGGGATTCTGTGAGTCCATGGAGGGTAGTTTTGGCAGAATTCCACCCAGGGAAAGCAAATTTGTATCCATAGTAAGAGCCTACTCCAGTGAGTACAAACTGTTGCCGCCTATATTATAAAAGTTATTCAACGTAATAAATTTACTACCAGGTGCCTGGTGGATCACCCTGGAAATGATGTCATATCAAAGACTCAGTGTAGATCTGTGCTGCTGTCAAATTAAACATTCAGAATTGACTGTAGCCAGACTGGCCTTTGGGATTCAAAGTTCATATTGCTTAGCCCGTGCATTGCTTCTATTTCTGCTACTATGTTCACCTTGTTTATAAGCCCATTGGGTGATGATGGGGGTGACAGGGAAGTAAGAATGACCCATACTCACGGAACAAGACATTCTGTCCACATCATTATCAAAATCATGCTCTGATACGGTTACCCCTTAGTAGGGATTCATATAGAACAGACATATCTTTATGTAATTTACCCAGTGAGAGAAGTTTATCCACAAAAGTTTTTCTATTTTTTTTTTTTGCCAGGAATTTTGTAATCATGTTCCTTCCGTGTCATTGGTCATGTAGCCAATTCATGGGCCACAGCAGTGTTGCAGGAGTGAGTATCATAGGATCTCAAACTCCTGTTCTTAAGCAATCCTTGCCTCAACCTCTTAAGTAGCTGAGACTATAGGTGCACCCCACAACGCCTAACTAATTTTGTTTTATTTTTAGTAGAGATTAGATTTTGCTATGTTTTCCAGGCTGTTCTCACACTCCCCACCTCAAGCGATTCTCCCAGCTTTGCCTGCAAAGTGCTTTGACTAGAGTCAAACCTCCACACCCAGCACCTATAATTTGATATTTTAAACAATACTATGTAGCGAAAGCAATTACGAAGTTATCTAGGGAAAGAAAGCTCACTATCACAGTGTAAAATTGTATAGATATGATGCGGGCATGTGTGTATACATGCTTGCTTGTGTGCATAGGTGCGTGTTTTCTGAGAAATGGTACCTTATTGCTACCAGGCTAGGATAGCATTCATGTTCTTCTGAAGATGTCAAATATTGAAGCTCCAGGATTCATAGAACAAGATTCCTAAGTGGTTCACGAGAGGGTGAACGATTGAGTAATGGGTATTTTGGAAGAAACAACTGGCCTAGGGACAAGAATAAGTGTGCAAATCATCTGTGTGAAACACGCTTTCTTCGGAGCACGCATTTCATGCACTTCATTCTACTGTGACAGATATTGCTACTCTGAGTTTGGGAGAGATTGAACCTAGGGTCTACTGTGAAACTCTGTAGACTAGACTTCTGTCTGAGGCAGCCCCTGCCTGTAACCGTAACCTGCGCCAAACTCCAATGGAGCATTCTTCTCAATGGATAAATGGAAATTCCGGATGATCCGATGGGCAGAGAGTGCGACTGTTTTTTTCAGGAGCTCTGGTTGAATGGTTTTGGGGACTTTCTGGGAGGATGCTCTGCACCCAGAAAAGTAGTCCAACGGGAATCATGAGAAAATGGGCGACTCCGTGTGCCTCCGTCCCCTCCTACTTCCTCACCCACCCCTCCATCAGGGATCCCACGTATTCCAGGATGACACGTGTTTTAGTTGTCTTTGGGCGACAACTAGCGGCAACCGTTATTGAAAATGTAAGCTGTAGAGAACAAAAAAACTCTGGTCGCCTGTTCACAGCTCACTCACTGCAACGTTGAATCCTGGGCTTAAGCAATCCTCCTGCCTCAGCTTCCTGAGTAGCTGGAAATATAGGCATGTGCCACAATGCTGGGCAATATTTTTAAGTAGTGGTAATCTCTCTCGATGTGTTGCCCAGGTTAGTCTCAAACTCCTGTCCTCTATCCAGCCTCCCACCTTGGTCTTCAGAAGTCCTGGGATTACAGGCTTGAGCCACTGTGCTCACTCCTATAATTTGATGTTTTCAACAATACTATGTAGTGAAATGCATCACGAAGACATTTTGCAAAAGAAAGCTCACTATCACATATAAAGTTGTATACTTGTCATGTGCTTACGTGAGCGCATGTTCTTGCCTGTCTGAATGTTTTCTGAGAACTGATCATCTTTTCCCCAGGGACACTGGTTGAAGAGCTGCGGGGATTGTCTGGGAGGGTGTCTCGGGCCCGGAAACGTAATCCAGGAGAGATCAGAAGACCGGCGACCCCATGGGCCTCCATCTCTTTCTCCTTCCTTGACAACCCCTAAACCAGTGACCCCACTCATTCCAGGCTGGAACGTCGTTCGGTTGTCATTTGGCGTCACCTAGCGGTCACTGTTATTGAAAATGGAGGCATCACACCAAAACTTCTGGCCGCCCGCGCACAGCCAGGGAAAACTGGTTTCTCTCGGGCCCCACCCTGACCTCAGAGGCACTCCTTCTGTCCCTCCCCCTATGCCTTGTTGCCTAGGAAACCTCCACCCTGGCTGGGAATGCTTATTTCTTTATTTATTTAGAGACAGAGACAGTTTCGCTCTTGTAGCCCAGGTTGAAGTTCAATGGCGCCATCTCGGCTCACTGCAACCTCTGCCTCCTGGATTCAAGCGATTCTCCTGCCTCAGCCTCCCCACTAGCTGGTATTACATGTGCCTGCCTCTACTCCCAGCAAATTTTTGTATTTTTAGTAGGGACGTCATTTCGCCATGTTGGCCAGTCTGTTCTCGAAGTCCTGACTTCAGATGATCCACCCACCTCAGCCTCTTAAAGTGCTGAGTTTACAGAAATAAGCCAGGGCGCCTAGGCTATCATTTGTTTTTCTTTCTTCCTTTTTTTTTTTTTTTTTTTTTTTTAGTAAGCATGAACAGTTCTACCTGGGTTTTAAAAATTGTGTGTGTGAAAGAAAAATAAATCTTGAGGCTTCCAAATCACTAAAGTAAAGGGAAAAGTCAAGCTGGCAACTGTTTAGGGCCAACCTGCCATTCTATTCAAAGTCACTCCTCTGCTCTTTTCTCTTTTTTTTTTTTCTTTTTTGAGATGGAGTCTCGCTCAGATGCTCAAGCTGGAGCCCAGTGGAGCAATCTCGGCTCACTGCAACATTCGCCTCCTGGTTTCAAGCGATAAATGTATATTTGATTGCCTCCTTTGGAGAGGCTAATTAGAAACTCCAAAGAATGCAACCATTTGTCTCTTAACTACCTTTGACCAGGAAGTCCCCTCCTCACTTTCAGTCTTCCCGCGTTTGCTAATTTGTCCCGCCTTTGCAGACCGAACCAATGTTCATCTTGCATACTTTGATTGATGTCTCATGTCTCCCTAGAATGTATAAAACGATAATGTTCTCTGTTTACCTTAGGCACATGTCCTCAGAACCTCCTGAGGCTGTCACGGGTATGCGTCCTGAACCTTGGTTACGTAAACTTTCTAAATTAACTGAGACCTCTCTCAAGTTTTCAGGGTTCACAACGGAAAGTGCATTGTAGCTCCACCCTAGGGCTTACCATTAAGAAAAACTATCCTAAATCTCTGCAGATACAGTCAAACCGGTTGTATGTAAACTGTATGAAACTAAATGCACTTATTACAAGTAAATGAATAAATGCTGAGAAAAAAAATCATGAACCGCTCACCTTTCAAAGAAGCAATAATACTATGAATTATGTGTAATTTCCAGAGTCAGCTAGTTTCAAAATTGTCCCCACTAAACTTGGAAAGGTTCCAGAGTGAGCTATTGTGTCTCCAGCCTTTGC
Organism: Homo sapiens; assembly: GCF_000001405.40. Taxonomy (NCBI): domain Eukaryota; kingdom Metazoa; phylum Chordata; class Mammalia; order Primates; family Hominidae; genus Homo; species Homo sapiens. Next base: position 405,938 of record NW_021160026.1, read on the forward strand.
TCCTCCCCCTTCTTTCCCCTGCGCCCTCCCCTCAACCTTTGCCGGCAATCACATTCTCTGATTCTGCAAAAGCAGGTGGGAGCCCTAGAGAGAGTTCTCGTTTTTTTTTTTTTTTTTTTTTTCTTTTTTGAGATGGAGTCTCGCTTAGAGGCTCAGGATGGAGCCCAATGGAGCAATCTCGGCTCACTGCAACATCCGCTTCCTGGTTTCAGGCGATTCTACTGCCTCAGCCTACCGAGGAGCTGGGTTAACAGGCACCCGTTATTATGCCCAGCTAATTTTTGTATTTTCATAGAGACAGGGTTTAACCATGTTGGCCACGCTGGACTCGAACTCCTGCCATCAGGTGATCCGTCAGCCTCAGCCTTTCAATGTGCCGGGATTACAGGCGTGAGCCACTGTGGCCAGCGAGTTCTCTTTTCTTTGTGAAGGGCAAGGCAAAGTGGAATGGATTCATCTAAAAGCGGAGTGCATGCCCTGGAAAACATCATGGTTAGACCCATGTGAGACAGGTTAGTTTTACTGCGTGTGTTCTCCATGTGTTGTTGCCCATGTGTTGCTACCATGGTAATCCTGCTGAGTATGAGAGGAATCAAAGTTTCACACATTTGGTGTATGTGCTTGACTGAGGAACCAATGGGGTGAAGCTACCATCTGTGGGATTATGACTGAACGCCTCTAAATCAGAATCCCGCCCAGAAGAAAGGATGCAGCAGCGCTGGCAAGACTCGGTTGGCCTCAGATAGCCAGTCCCCAGCCTTTGCCACCGGCCGGACGCTCCGCCCCGCTGTGCGCCAAGACCTTGCTCCGGTCTTATCATCCTAAAAAATGGGGTGCGGCCCCCCATCCTAAAAAACGGGGTGCGGCCAGAAAGGCGTTTGCTCCCTGGCCCGTCACATAACATGCTCATGGGGAATCTGATACTAAACTATTGGTAAACGCCCTGCTTCTGGGTCAGGGTTTCCTATGGAGCAGAGCAACTCCCTCACTGCAACCTATTGAAAGTCAGCCCTCCACACAAGGGGCTCTCAACCAGTGTGCGGGAAAACTAGCGTTGTGGCGTGTCCTGTATAATTCAGCCCTGGACCTCTACCTTCCTTCTTTCCTCCTTTTGCCCCCGGGGACTTAGTTCCCGGGCCTGCTCAGGCCCCCCGCCCCGGAGCCCCAGGGCATGCAGGGCTGTCTCTCGCGAGATAACATTGGCGTCGGCCGTGCATTTGGGAGGGGTCGTTCCCCAACAGCAGGCTTTCCAAGATGCAGCGCTGGGGGTTGCGAGGTAGGGTTGGCGCCCCTGCTCGATGTTCCACCTCTCTGATTGAGCTTCTTTCTCCCATCCCGCTGGGAATTCCTCCACGAGTTGGGACCGGATTCTTCGAGCCTCGTGCGAATGGCTGAGGCGCGGGTGTCAGAGGTTTTGCCCCTGCAGTCCCTGCCTGAGTAGTGTTCGCGCGATGCCCGTGGGTGGCTGTTGGGGTCACAGTCCCTCTCCCCGCCTCAGGGGTGCTGGGATGAAAGACTAGCTAGTCACTACCCTTGTGTCTTTACTCCTCTTCTCTGTCCGGGTCAACCAGCGGACTGCGGGGAAATGGCTGGCAGGTCTGCCAAGTTAGACGGCCTCAAACCTGGGCCGGTTCTGTGTGATAAGGTTCCAACTGCGTCTGATCGCTTCCCTCCGCGAGCACCACATTTGGTCTTTAGGGTGGACCCTGTCGATTAGATGCTGGCCTTTGGCTTCCCGATCAGCCCGCGAATCAGCCGACTGCGGGAAGCAAGCAACATCCAGTTGACACGGCCGCGGGCTTCTCTGTCTGGAAGACCTGGGACCAGGGCCTAAGGCCCCAGTCCTCAGGTCTCTGGTCGCCGTGCCCACCTGATGTCCGCGGCAAGCGTTGGACTTGACCGTCAACTTGGGATTTCTAAGGTAGACCAGATAACTTTGGTCAGCAGCAGTACCGCCCGCATTCACTAGGTGTCGCTTTTTCCTTGCGTTGTTTCTTCCTCTCCAACTGTTTCCACAGTACTTTCAGTTTCTCTTCGTTTTGTTTTTCTTTTATTTTTCTTGCTCCTCTTTCTACACACTGAAGTTGCTGTTGTTTTACATTTACCTTTTATTTATTTGTAGTTTTTGAGGCAGGTTGGAGTGTAAGAATGCAATCTCGGCTTACAGCCGCCTCGACTTTCCAGGACTCCCTCAGGTGATCTTCCTATCTCAGCCTTCCAAGTGGCTGAGACTACAGGAATCACTTAATTCTGTGATGTCGAAGCTGAAGTGAGCCGTGATGATGCCTTGCCCTCCAGTCTGAGTGTTTCAGAAGGTAAGAGAGACAGGTTAAAGAAAAAAATTCCTTGAAATAAACTGCAATTAACTGTGATCTAAATTACCTTTTATAGTTTTTCACTCCCACGAGTTTGTTTATTATTATTGCTGCTTATTATTTCTTTGTATTATTGTTTGTCATTATTGTTATTGTTTTTATTATTTATGTAATTATTTAGAGATGGAGTCTTCCTCTATCACCCAGAGTGCAGTGCAGTGGCGCGACTTTGGGTCACTGCAGCTTCAAATGCCTGGGTTCAAATTCGCAATATGGCGAAACACCCTGTTTACTAAAATCTGTCAATGACACCTTCAGGACCGTTGGTTGTGGCGGCTGCAATTTCGGAGGCTGAGGAGGGCAGTTCGCTAGAGCTCGGGAGTTCAAGACAGCCTCGGAAACAGACTGCAGAGCATTTGTCTGACCAAGACCCGCTGCAGCCTCCACCTCCCGACCCCAAGCGATGTTCTCAACTCAGGCTCCAAAGGATCTGGGACCACAGGCGCCTGCCATCATAATGCCCGGATTTTTTTCTTTTCTTTTCTTTTTCAGTAGAGACGGGGTCTCACTGTGTTGCCAGGGCTGGTCTCAAAGTCCTAGGCTCTAGCAATTCTTCCAACTCAGCCTCCCAAAGTGCTGGGATTATAGGTGTGAGCCACAATGCCCTGCCCTCTTTTTTATTTCCTTCATTTTTTCTCTTTTTTTCTTTCTCTTTCTTTCTGTCTTTTCTTTTTCTTCTCTCTTTTTCTTCCTCCCTTTTTTCTCTCATTTCTCATTCTTTTTTTTTCTGTTTCTATGTCTTTTGGTTTTCTTTTTCATCTTTCTTCCCTTTACATCTCTGTCTGTCTATTTTCTTTTTCTTGATCTTCCTTACTCTCTCTCTCTTTTCTTCATTTCTTTCTTTCCATCCCTCTGTCTGTCTGTCTTTGTGTGGATTTTGGAAAATTCTCCTTATTCTGTATCTCCCTGTGTATCACAAGCCTCTGTGACTTTCACTTTGTTGTTTTTCCTCCTTGTCGCGTAAAAGGCATTCACTGCTCTTTTATTTTGGTGCTCTGTGGATGTTCGAAGGGTGGGGAAAAAGTGGTCCACGAATGTGATTGGTTTCATGAGAGACACGAGAGACAAAAGAACATATGATGATTACTTCGCTAAATGCCCTGTTTATTCTTTCAACTGCACTCATACAAGTAAGGACGCAGTTGGTGGGTTGAGAGATCTCTGTGTAGTCATGACTCTGCAATTATACTTGACGAGAGCGGTGATGATGAACGGGCGGCATGGAAACCTGCCCTTCTTTGGTGTCAGTTGAGCACAGTGAGAAGAGATTCACAATGGCCTGTATCTCAACCTGATGGTACTGTGTTTCTGCTCTGATCTTTACGAATGAGAGAAGCATTCCCGTGCATTCCTGCAACGTCCTTGAAGTTTTCTTTTTAAACTTTTCGATTAACTAACGTATTTATTAATTTATTTGAGATGGAGTCTTGTTCTGTTGGTCAGGCCATGGCGCAGTATCGGGCCACTGCAACCTCCGCCTCCCAGGTTCCAGCGATTCTCTTGCCTTAGCCTCTCGAGTAGCTGGGATAACAGGCACGTGCCACCATACCCAGCTAACTTTTACCTTTTTAGTAAAGACAGGGTTTTCCCATGTTGCCCAGGCTGGTCTTGAACTCCAACTTCCAGGAATCCTGTGGCCTCGTCCTCCCAAAGTGCTGGGAGATCCCAGGTCATCAGACTCGAGAAAGAATGTTGGTTGATATAGAAAGGCGAGACACACTGCGCCCGACCCAAATTGCTATTTTTAAAAATAAACCAGTAGGCTGGGTGCAGTGGGCCACTCCTCTCATCTCAGCAGTTTGCTAGGCGGATGTGGGAGGATTACGAGGTCAGGAGTTTGAGACCAGCCTGGCCAACATAGTCAAACTCTGTCTGTATGAAGAATACAAAAATTAACCAGGTGTGGTGTCACACACCTCTACTCCCAGCTACTCTATATGCTGAGGTAGTAGAATCTGTTGAAGCCGGGAGATGGAGATTGCAGTCAGCCCAGATCATGCCACTGGACTCCAGCTTGGGTGACAGAGTCAGATTCCATCTAAAAAAAAAAAAGTAATTAAAAATAAGTGAGTTTCCAAGAAGAAATAGAAACCCGCAGTGACACAAACATATGCATCTCACCTTTCGAGGCAGCAATGACACTACAAACTTGTAAACTCAGTTCATTTCTTGACTGCGGACCATGGGTATTTGTGATGCTTCCTCTTGGAACATAGTTCTGTGTGACACCATACCCAGCTAACATTTGCCTTTTTAGTAGTCAGAATTTTGCTATATTGCCCAGACTGCTCTTGAACTCATGAACTCCAGGTATCCGCCCGCCCAAAAAAAAGAGTTGTGATGAAAGGAGACACACAGATGGATTTCAGCCCTTAAAATGGTGCATGCTGCCACATTTCACAGATCTTCCCTGGGCCTTACTGGTATTTGCCCAACATAGAAATGCTTTCTAAAAAGTGACAATTTGCTTACATAATATTTCCACAAGCGATGCCTTGGTCTGTGTTTGTTTTTACGTTTTGTTTTGTTTGTAGTTTTTACTTTACTTATCTCTTTTCAGTTGAAGTAGATTTTACCAATTTTAGGAAGATGTGTATTTTCCCCAAAACCTGTTAGCTGGTGTTTTCTTCGGTCATTAAGTAGCGATTTTCGGAATCTCTCAAGGTACAGTGAGAGCCGATTGGTATAAACTATACTTCATAAAATCTTCTTTCCTTTTCATTTTTTTTTTTTTTTTTTTGTCTTTCAGGTGGAGTTTCGCTCTTATTGCCCAGGCTGGAGTTCAGTGGCGTGACCTCAGCTCACCGCAACCTCTGCCGCCTGTGTTCAAGAGATTTTCCAGTCTTCACCCTTTCGAGTAGCTGAAACCACAGGCAAACACCTCCAGGCCTGGCTAATTTTTTTTTTTTCATAGAGACTAGGTAGCTCCATAATGGTCAGGCTGGTCTAGAACACCCAACCTGAGGCGTACCACCCAACTTGACCACCCAAAGTGCTGAGATTAAAGGCGTGAGCTCCGCGTCTGGCCATAACATCTTATCCTATAGAAGCCCAGAGAGGTTAGGTATGTAGTCCCTGAGACCAGCCTTCCTTGGATGAACTCCAAAGTGATGGCTGAGGATTAGGGAGTGTGGGGTGGGGGCTGGAAAGTCGGTCCCCTATTGTTGCTACCTAGGCCATGACATCCCCATACTCCCATCGCCTGCTCACCGTTTGACATTCCCCCCCACCACCGCCTTGGTGGCTGAACTCTTACTTTAATTTCTGTCTTTCTTCGTTTGTTGGGTTTCAGGAGGGGGTGCAGGAAAGACGGTGTGCGTGGGGAGGGGGTGTAGGGTGGGGATGGAGGGGAGCGTCCTAAGGGTCGATGTAGTGTCATGCCTCTTTCATCACCACCACCGAAGATGAAACAATAATCATCTAAATACCGCGTGTTCTCACACATAAGTGGGAACTACATAATGAGAATGCATGCGAAGAACTAGGGGGACGAGAGACGCAGGAGCCTACCTGAGGGAGGACGTGTGGAAGGACAGACAGCTTCAGGACAAAGCAAAACGAGCAGAACACAAAAACTGTAGGGGACTGCGCTGAGAATCCGGGTGAGGAAATCATCGGCACACTGAACCCCCTACTCAGAAGTTTACCTATGAAACAATCTTGCACATGTATGCTTCAAAAACAAATAACAGTTAGGGAAGAAAGAGAGAGAGAGAGAAAGAGAGAGAGACAAGTAAAATAAAGCACCACCTCCTTGACCTGACTCAGGGCGTTTGGGGTCTTCTGGGGAAATGTTCTGAAACAATGGAGTATTTTGGTCTGTTCTTTCTTGTGTCTTTTTTTTTTTTTTTAAGACGGACTCTCGCTCAGCCACCCAGGCTGGAATGCAGTGGTGCACTGGCTTCACTGCAGCAAATATCTCCCGGGTTGAAGCGATTCTCCAGTCTCATCCTCCTGAGTGGCCGGGATTACAGTCACGCGCCATAATGCCCTGCTAATTTTTGAACATTAGTAGAGAAGGGGTATTGCCATGCTTGCGACGCTGGACTTGAAGGC